>NC_000006.12:60229934-60529934 GCF_000001405.40 Homo sapiens | reverse complement strand
AGTAACGCTAACACTGAGTTCATGTTGTCTGATGCTCTTCATACATATTTTCAAATTGTGATGAGATAAACTTGCAAATAATTACTGACAAACATCTATAATAATATATTAATATCTGAATTAGAATTTTGGAGAAGTGAAGACTTCAAACATAAATTTAAGCTTTAGATGATCCCATAAATTACCTGAAGAAGAAATGGATTCACAGAAATAAAAAAGCTCAACCATATAAAAAGTAAATATGTAACATGATATACATACATACATACAATCTAGTATGTATATGTTTGGGAAACATGCTATGAAGAAATAATAAATCATATTAATAAAAATTTTAGTTGGGTAATCCACATGTGTAAAAAACTTACTAAAGAAAACTGACATAAAAGCCACAGAATGTGAGAAAAACAGATGTATTGCAAATTTTAGGTTCAATTTTTAGGGTCCATAAAAAAATTAAATTTAAATTAATCACACTACAATCTTCCCCTGACCAGACCCCACTCGCAGAGAGGGCTCTTCCTTAACAAAAATAATTTACTTTTATTTTTGTTTTATTCTATTAGGATGAATTTTTATTTAAAATCTGCTGCAAATCTATAAACAAGTCATTCAACTATGATCAGGATAGCTTAAAGAACTTTAATCATGTCCCAGCATATTTGAGATAGATGAAGGTTTCTATAAATAAGTAAAGGTGTGATGAGAAAAAAAGGCAATAGAGGTTTTTGAGGTAAACAAGTATTATTGGTAGATACTTTTATCTTCACTTCAGAAATGAGGAAATATATTAAAATTGGAGTATCTGTCTCCTGAGGGTGAGGGCCATTAACCGCAGAAAGAATTTTAAAAATCACATACAAATTAATAATCTTTCTTTTAAAGGAAGATAACTTACATGCTTTTAAAATTAAGGTAGAAAACATAAAACATTACTCCAAAAAATCCAACTAATGAATATATAGTTTCATTTCAGATTATGATCTATAATACAGAGATATAGGAAAAGAAAAGATGGACCAAGGAATGAAGTTTGACTTTTTCTCTGAGTAAAATGGGGAGCTAATACAATATTCTATGTGCAGGACTAAAGTGAACTGACATTTACAGAGGGTTCATTTTTGCCTGCTGTGCTGGGAACAGATTGGAAAGGACAGAGGTAGAAACAGGGAGCTCATTACAGGAATTCAGGGAATAGATGGTAGATCCATGGACCAGGGTGGCAATATTAGTGGCGATGGTAAGTGGTCAGATTTGGAAACAGGAGCATTTCCCACTTAATGGCTATAAAATATTTCTAAAATCAGATGTTCTGCATGAAAATACTCAAGAGGAACCTGTCCTCCAATGTCTTAAAATAATGCATGAGCTACCACTCAACCCCTTCCCCTGCCAACTGATTTCCTAAATAACTAGTTCTAAAACTCGGGAAAATGCCAATATGAAAAACAAACCTATCATATAAAATAAATGTAAAATACCCAAAATATCACGTAGTAGCCACTAAACAATATGATTAACAAACAGATATTTTCTATGTAGAAACAGGAGTATGATACCTCATGTCTCTTAGAGTTAGGACTTCTTAGATGCATACTTTGCTGACGTCAAAATCTTCCCAAGTGATTCTGATGTTCTAGAATTTGTATATGGACTGCAACCTGAAACTTCTTCTGCACTTCGTTTTGTTAAATTTTTCCAATATGAACATCACCACTAAGCACTGTATTAAGATATTCTGCAGGTAACTCTATTTTGATGTTGATACTAATACAACTTGCTGAGGGGGTTGGATGACTCCAAGGCAGGAAATACAAACTAAAAATCAGGTGAAGGAAATGAAGCATTAAGGTATGACCAAGACACTAAAATTCAGCTTATGATATAGGATCAAAATTACAAACCTGGCGAACACCAAAATCCAAGAACAGATGCCTAAGGTACACTGTGTGAAACAGAATTTAGGGTCAAATTTCCACAAGATACTTATACACCATGGAGTACTATGCAGCCACAAAAAAAGAACAAAATCATGTCCTTTATGGCAACACAGATGCAGCTGAAGGCCATTATCCTAAGCAAATTAATGCAGAAAAAATTAATCAAATACCTCATGTTCTCACTTAAAGTGGGAGCTAAACATTGGTTATACATGGTCACAAAAAAGACAACAATAAACACTGGGGATTCTAAAACTGGGGGGAAGGAGACAAGACTTGAAAAATTACCTATCAGGTACTATGTTCACTACTTGGGCAATGGGATCATTAGAAGCCCAAGCCTCAGCATCATGCAATATACCCATATAATAAACCTGCACATGTGCCCCCCTGAATCTAAAATAAAAATTTTAAAAAACGTATTAAGAAAAAACTGAAATACTCCACAAAGTAATGAAGATGTTGTTAGGCAAGAGTACTTTTTGCCTGTGTTTGTTTCTGCAACATAGCTTCTGAAAGCCCAGACATCCATCCTCACAAGCTGGTCTTGGCTCCTAAAAAGATAGCTTCCCAAGATGGCAGGCCAGGACTGCGCAGAGTGAGGGTCAGAAATAGAATAGGTCAGGAAAACACATACTACATAGAGGTGGAAACCCATCAAGAGGAAGAAATATAATGAAGAGACAAAAAACAAGAATAGGAAGAAAAATGTGGAAATCCAGAGAAATGGGATAAGTAAATGAGTCCATGGCTTGCCATTTATGTGGCTTGTAAGCATCAAAGTCTAACCCATAGCTCACAAAAGATGTTTCAATGAGCACTGACACTAACTCTCCAGTTTTCATGTTCCATTCTGAAAGAACCAGAGCACCTTATGAGGTCCTCTTGCATATTGCAATAATAACAAAGAACAGTTTTCCAAAGGTCAGAGGAAACCAAATCAAGGGTCCATTCTGATGCTGGGGCCAGAAGTTTCCTAAATCTGTTTTAGAAAAATATCAAACATTTTGAACAATCATATCAAAGACATTTAAAAACACAATTTTTATTTGAAGAAAAAACTCATATAAAGATCTAAGAATATTATACAGATGGCAGTATGACTTAGTTTTTAATGCCAGTATTTCCAGATAAAGTACAAAATGTCAAGTGTAACAATCCACTTACTGTTCTAATCTAGTTCATCAGTAATCAAAAGGCTAAGAAAAAGTGAGTAGTGGACAGGCACGGTGGCTCACGCCTGTAATCCCAGCACTTTGGGAGTCCAAGGCAGGCGGATCATGAGGTCAGGAGTTCAAGACCAGCCTGGCCAACATGGGGAAACCCCATGTCTACTAAAAATGCAAAAATTAGCTGGGTGTGGTGGTGCGTGTCTGTAATCCCAGCTACTCAGGAGGCTGAGGCAGGAGAATCGCTTGAACCCGGGATGTGGAGGTTACAGTGAGCCAAGATTGCAACCCTACATTCCAGCCTGGGTGACAGAGCAAGACTCCATCTCAGAAAAAAACAAAAGAAAGAAAGAAAAAGTGAGTAGTAGTGACATCAAACTACAATATTTTGGTAATTCGTATTTTTAAACTCTATATATTTTTAAACTTTTTTTTTTTTTTGAGACAGTCTCACTCTGTCACCCAGTCTGGAGGGCAGTGGCACAATCTCGGCTCACTACAACCTCCACCTCCCAGGTTCAAGTGATTCTCCTGCCTCAGCTCTCAAGTAGCCAGGATTACAGATGCGCACCATAACACCCAGCTAATTTTTGAATTTTTAATAGAGATGGGGTTTTGCCATGTTGGCCAGACTGTTCTTAAACTCCTGGCCTCAAGCAACCCACCAGCCTTGGTCTCCAAAAGTGCTAGGATTAGAGGTGTGAGCCACCATGCCTGGCCTCTCTTTATTTTTAACGATTCTCTATCAGTTGAATAAAGTCCACCAGTAAGAATATTACAGTTTTTAAAAATAGGCTGGGTGTGGTGGCTCACACCTGTAATCCCAGCACTTTGGGAGGCCAGGGCAGGTGGATTGCTTAAGTTCAGGAGTTAAAGACCAGCCTAGGCAACACGGAGAAACCCTGTCTCTAATAAAAATACAAAAAATTAGCCAGGCATGGTGGCACATGCCTGTAGTCCCAGCTACTTGGGGGACTGAGGTGGGAGGTTCTCTTGAGTCGGGGAGGTCAAGGCTGCAGTGAGTCCTGACCATGCCACTGCACTCCAGTCTGGGTGACAGAATGAGACCCTGTCTTAAAAAAAAAAAAAAAATGCAGTTTTCATCTTCACAAAAAGTTCATATTTGTATTTGCTAAGTTTGCTAGAAGCATTAATTATACTTCATCTACTATTTCATCCTCAAGATGAATTACTGATATTTTTTCTGTAAGACAATTCTAGTAAAGCACCTCACCAAAGACTTCTTTGCGGTTGAGGAGCAAAAAGCAAATAAGGTGATATTTTTCTGATTTAATCAGTGATGGAACATAGATGATACAGAACACTGGTGGGAAATGCTATAGGTATGTCTATTTATAACACATACATATACAAAAATAGAACTCTCTTCTTTTTATACACACACAACATTTTATAACTTTGAGCCACACTTCCTCCCTCTTGCTAATACTCTTAATATTTCCAGCCAGCTGCAAATTCCTCTCTCTCTTTTGCTTCAATGCCTGCCAGCGAGGTTCAGATGATTACCTGGCAGCAGAATTCAGCCACCTGCCCATCTTTGGCTTTGGTGAGCAGAGCGCTGTACAGCTAGGTATGCTGTACTCACCAATTAGATATGTGGCTAATCTAATTCAAGGTCATGTTTTGTCTTATTTAAAAATGATAACAAGCTTGCTTCTTCCTAAAAAAACTCAATCTTTCAAAACTAGACTGGGCTGATATTTTTCCACTCCATTTCTAACCTTCCCATATTTCAAAGGTGAAAGAAAACTGTGGTGGAGATGCCAAGTCTTGCACATTTTTGAACATATGACTTTGCTCCCATTTCTCACACACTCAGCACAGCTTAGCCTGCTGCTGACTTGCTGTGACCTACACTGACTGGCAGATCAGGGCCAAGTTTCCCTCTCTTGAAGATGTACTTTCATTTCTTTAAAACATTATATGTCAAGAATTTTTCTGACTCTTTATTATCTATAAACAAAGTTATCTAAGTCAATTCTACCTCCAAATGTCATTAAAATCTACCCTTTTCTCTCCATTTTTGAAGCCTTCATCATTCTCTTTTTTATTGGAAAGCTTCTTGATTTATACTTTCTTCACTCAAGATAGCTGCCACATTGCCACAAGAGTACCTTTTCTAAAAGCCAAATCTAATCCTGGCATGGCTGGGGCACAAACTTTTCATCATGATTCAAAGGCTCCTACCCTGTCCTACCTGGCCACTGGATCCTCATACTCTGGTCCAGCTTCTCCTGCAATGTGCTCTTTGGAACTTTAGCTCACAAAATCCTAGTGATGATCGGGGGTTTTCTTGTCTAATAACTTGTTTAACTGGCTTTAATCCACAATTACATAAGTTTCTTTATGGCAGAACTTAATAGGGTAACGTTTCTCAAACTAATTTGTCCCCAGAATCCATTTCTCATAGATCTCTCAGGACTAGGGTTTCTCAAAACACACCAAACAACCTTATTTAAATTAATAGAGTCACCTCCACAAGTCTCATTCTTCTCTCTTATCCTGCCATAGTTTTATTTCACTACACTTACTTGTTTATCTGCGATATATGGTTTGGCTCTATCCTGACCCAAATCTCATCTTGAACTGTAGCTCCCATAATTCCCACGTGTCATGGGAGGGACCTGGTGGGAGATAATTGAATCATGTGGGCGGTTTCCCCCATACTGTTCGCGTGGTAGTGAGTAAGTCTCACAAGATCTGATGATGGTTTTGTAGGGGAAACCCCTTTCACTTGGATCTCATTGTCTCTCTTGTCTGCTGCTATGTAAGACATGCCTCTCACCTTCCACCATGATTGTGAGGCCTCCTATGCCACATGGAACTGTGAGTCCATTAAACCTTTTTTTCTTTATAAAGTACCAAGTCTTGGGCATGTCTTTATCAGCAACATGAAAACAGACTAATACAGTCTGTCTCCCCACTGGAATATCAGCTCCATGAAGGTAGAAGTCTCACTAGTTTTAGTCATCATTATATTCCCAATGTCTTGAACAGTAAATGGAATACAATCATCACGCAATTATTATTTGTTGATGTTGAATGAATGCTGCTCCTTTTGCCTAATCTGCCTTACATCAGGCACAGGGGAAACTCCTACTCAACTTTCAAACCCAATTAAAATGTCACTTCTTATATGAAGCATTCTCTTCTGCTCCCTCTTCAACAGAAGATCTTTCCCCTCTGGCACTTTGAATATATTTTTATAAAAGCATTTAGCATACTTTATAATAGTTAATTATTAAAGCACTTATCATACTCTATTGTAGTTAGGTACCAATAAAAGGATTTTGAGAAGCAATTTAAACTGCTACCCAAAATACTGATTTTCTTAGTGCACATTAATACCAACATTTTGGATTAAAGGATTTAAGCTCTTAGGGAACATTAACAACTAAGTAAACTTAGAAAGCAAGGAGGGAAGGAAAGAGAAAGAAGAAGAGAGGAAAGATAATGAGGGGGAAGGGAGGACAAACGAGAAGACACATGTAAAGCCTGCTTAGAGATACGGAGAAACGTATTGTCAAACCTCAGTTCCATGGTTCAGTTACTAATTATTACTGTGCTTTGAGTATTCTATTTTTTGGCCTAATATAAAAGCAAGCCACTTCTGAGTCACTATGCTCTATGATCTTTATGAAAATAATGAAAGATATTTATACTGATTATATAATTACTTTAGAAGGTTATGCTTATTAAAAGATGTATCATGTACTGATTTAATAATTACTTTAGATTGTTTATTAAAAGATGTATCATATCTATTGAAAACAGAAGCTAATGTTAAAATCTGTCACTTAAGAATTAAGAAGTAAAAATAATCATATAAATTCAGAGATAGAAACTTTAACAAGAAATACATTGCAAATTGATGGTAAACACCACCAAGAAGAATGAAATGACTTAAAGCTACCCAGTCTAAAAATCTAAACTACTTGCTTTATGAAATAAATTTACTTAACTTTCTGGGTACCTTAAGCTTACTTCTTCAAAAGAAGCCGGGATGCCTCTGGGAGTATACTCTATAAAACTGATCAAGAAATAGAACTAAGTTAGAACAGTTTTATGACTATAGGTAGTTAGATTTGACTTTACAAAAATATCCTAAGTGACAGTATCATATGTGACTGAATAAAATTCTTCCATAGGTATCAGTAATTTTTCATGTAATGAATACATAATAAATATAGAAAGATGTGTAACTATATAAACAGTATTAAATTTTAAGAAAGGATGTTTTCCATTTGAATGCAATTTTAATGAATATAAGTTTTAATTAATAGGCTTAGCTAACAATGACATATGTTACTTGATTTTCAAAGTGATTTTTCTTTGAACCACCTTGAACATTAAATCTTCAAGCAACCATTTATCTTCAGCCTATAAGAAAGGAAGGATATACACAGAAATCAAGTATTAAAGCCAAAAGTACAACCATGGCCTGGTGACACCAATTCTAATGCTCAACTTCCCATCTTTTCCTTAATGCAGTTCTGAGTTTTACCAAGAACGTTACACATTTTCAACTACAACACTAAGAAAAGCAAAGCTAAGTGCAGCAATCAAACTACTGTTCTCAAAAATCAGAAGAGATACTCCTGAAGATGAAATAGATACAAAAGCTGCCCTTAAAAGCAGTTACTTTCCATAAAGTAATAGACAGACTGAATACTAGCATCCACTGGTAAGTCCCCCTTACCTAAGAAAATCATAGGAGTTTTTAGGTAGCTTATATTTTTAGGAACATTAAGTAAAGAGTCATTGAAATTTATCTTTGTCATAAAATCTTCTTGACAAAGAGTTACTTTTAAGTCTTTTAAACTGTCCCTTTTGAAAGATTTCTTCATTAAAAGGCATTTGCCAGTTTTAGATTTAATATAGTCACTAACTTCTTGAGAATTTTTGACTGTGAAAAACAGAGGTTAACCAACCTCTCAAGAAGCAATAAGAGCATACATTTTTTCATATTTCATGGTTTTAATTCACTCTTAAGTTTCTTAGAAGCACCAATTAGATTTGTTTTAAAAATCATTAATAGTTGAGTGAAAATTCTAAAACACATTTCCTTCCTCTATTAAAAAAACTAAAATGAGAAATAAAAAGAGAGTTTTAAAAACATTAGTGCAGAAATACATTTGTAAATAATGTATCATTTCAATCAAAATCTTGAAAAATGAATAGCCTTATGTATACTTACTTATGGGCCAACATGTAAAAGTAAGTACTGGTTGTAATAGGTCTAACACAACTGTACAGCAAAGCAAACATTAAAATACACTGTAGAAACAGAACCTAATCACTTGAATACTCAACATTCTCAAGTGCTCGATACTTAAAGCCATGCTCTCAACAGAAATATGACATATCTGTAATTTTAGATTTTCTATAACCACAATTAAAACAGTAAAAATAAGCAATTACTTTCAGTAATATATTTTATTCAAAGAAATATATCTAAAATATTGTCATTTCAAAATGTAATCAATATAAAAATATTACTGAGATATTTTGTAATGCTTTTTTTCGATACTATTATTACTCTGTGAAACTTGGTGTACATTTTACTACAGCCAGTGGTATACTGGAGCTAACACAAACTGGCTGTAATCCCAGCTACTTGGGAGGCTTAGGCAGGAAAATTGCTTGAACCCGGGAGGCAGAGGTTTCAGTGAGCCGAGATCGTGCCACTGCACTCCAGCCTGGGCGACAGAGTGAGACTCCATCTCAAAAAAGAAAGAAAGAAAAAAAAAACTGTCAACCAAGATTCATAAGGAAAAAGTAAGACATTCCCAGATAAACAAATGCTGAGGGAGTCTGTTGTTAGTAGACCTGCCCAACAAGAAATGCTAGAGTAAATCCTTCAGGCAGAAAGAAAAGATCACTACAAAGTAACTCAAAGCCATTCAAAAAGAATGAACACGAGCTAAGGTAACTATATAGGTATTAAAAATCCAGTATTATTGTGTTTTTGATTTGTAACTCTTCTTTTTTCTCAAATGATTTAAAAGACAGATGCATAAAACAGTAATTATAAGTTAATGGGCACACAATGTATGAAGATGTAATTTGTGACAACAATATAAGGGGGAGGGACAGAGCTATACAGAAGTGGAGTTTTTGTATATAATAGATGCTAAGTTGATATTAAAAATTGTTATACATATAAAAGGTTACAGTCCCCAGGATAACCACTAAGCAAATAATGAGAAAAAAATACATCAAAAAAAAAGTGATGGGAATAAAAATGGTACTATGGTACTGTGGTCTGAATGTGTCCCCTCCAAAGTTCAGGTGCTGCAAATCTGCTAGTATTAAGAGGTGGAACCTTTAAGACATGATGAGGCCATCAGGGCTCATTCCTCATTAATAGAACTAAGGCCCTTATAAAGAAAAAAAGCAGCAGCAGCTTCAGGTGGCATTTGGCTAGCTTGTTCTCTTGTCCTTCTGCAATGTGAAGACTGAACAAGAAAGTCTTCATCAGATCAGAGATAGGCTCCTCAACCTCGGACTTCTCAGCCTCTATAACTGTGAGAAATAAATTTCTTTCATTTATAAATTAGCTGATCTGTATATCCTGTTATAGCAGCACAAAACTGACTAAGTACACTACCAAAAAAAAAATTAATGCAAAAGAAGGTACTAATGGAGAAACCGAGGGACAAAAAAGACATGACATCATTGAAAGCAATGAGCAAAATGCCTGGCATGGCAGCTCCTGCCTGTAATGCTGTTGCTTTAAAGTTTGTTTCATCTGATATAAGAACAGCTACCCCTGCCTGCTTTCAGTGTCCATTTGCATGAAATGCCTTTTTCCACACCTTTACTTTAAGTTTATGTGAGTCCTTATGAGTTAGGTTAGTCTCCTGAAGGCAGCAGATTGTTGGTTGATGAGTTCTTATGCATTCTGCAGTTCTGTACCTTTTAGGTGGAGCATTTAGCCTATTTACATTCAATGTTAGTATTGAAATGTGAGGTACCTTTGCATTCATCATGCTCTTGGTTGCCTGCGTACTTTGGTTTTTTGTTTTTGTTTTTTAACTTGTATTTTTATTTTACAGGTCCTGTGAGATTTATGCTTTAAAGATATTCTGTTTTGATGTGTTTCCTGGATCTGTTTGAAGATTTAGAGCTCCTTTTAGCAGTTCTTCTAGTGGTGGCTTAGTAATGGCGAATTCTCTCAGCATTTGTTTGTCTGAAAATGACTGTTATCTTTCCTTCATATGTGGTGCTTAGTTTCACTGGATACAAAATTATTGGCTGATGTTTGTTTTGTTTGAGGAGGCTGTAGATAGGGCCCTAATCCCTTCTAGCTTGTAGGGTTTCTGCTGAGAAATCTGTTGTTAATCTGTTAGGTTTTCCTTTATAGGTTACCTGGTGCTTCTGTCTCACAGCTCTTAAGATTCGTTCCTTTATCTTAACTTTGGATAACCTGATGACAATGTGCCTAGGCGAAGATCTTTTTGTAATGAATTTCTTGGGTGTTCTTTGTCTTTTTTTTGAGATGGAGTCTCACTCTGTCACCCAAGTTGGAGTGCAGTGGCATGATCTTGGCTCACTGCAACCTCAGCCTCCCAGGTTCAAGCGATTCTCCTGCCTCAGCCTCCCAAGTAGCTGGGACTACAGGTGTGTGCCACCACGCCCAGCTAATTTTTTGCATTTTTAGTAGAGATGGGGTTTCACTGTGTTAGCCAGAATGGTCTTGATCTCCTGACTTCATGATCCACCTGCCTCAGGCTCCCAAAGTGCTGGGATTACAGGTGTGAGCCACCTCACCTGGCCCTGTGCTTCTTATATTTGCATGTCTAGGTCTCTAGCAAGGCTGGGGAAGTTTTCCTCAATTATTCCCCCAAATATGTTTTCCAAGCTTTTAGAATTGTCTTCTTCCTCAGGAATACCAATTATTCTTAGGTTTGGGTTTAACATAATCCCAAACTTCTTAGAGGCTTTGTTTATATTTTCTTATTCTTTTTTCTTTGTCTTTGTTGGATTGGGTTAATTCGAACACCTTGTCTTCAAGCTCTGAATTTCTTTCTTCTACTTGTTCAATTCTATTGCTGAGACTTTCCAGAGCATTTTGCATTTCTAAAAGTGTATCCCAAGTTTCCTGAATTTTGTATTGTTTTTTCTTTTAGCTATCTATTTCATTGAATCTTTCTCTCTTCACTTCCTGTGTCACTTTTTGAATTTCCTTGCATTGGGCTTTGCCTTTCCCTGGTTCTCCCTGATTAGCTTAATAACTAACCTACTGAATTCCTTTTCAGTTATATCAGGGATTTCTTCTTGATTTGGATCGATTGCTGGTGAACTAGTATGATTTTTAGGGGGTGTTGATGAGCCTTGTTTGGTCATATTACCAGGGGTGGTTTTCTGGTTCCATCACATTTGGGTAGGCTCTGTCAGAGGGAAGGTCTAGGGCTGAATGCTGTTGTTCAAATTCTAGCGCACAGGGTGTTCCCTTGATGTAGTACTCTCCCCTTTTCCTGTGGTTGTGGCTTTCTGTGAGGCGAACTGCAATGATTGTTGTCTCTCTTCTGGGTTTAACCATCCAGTGAGTCTACCTGGCACCATGCTAGTACTGGGGGTTTCTGCTCAGTCCTGTGATATGAACCATCTATGGGTCTCTCAACCACGGATACCAGTGCCTGTTCCATTGGAGGCGGCAGAAGGTGCAATGAACTCCATGAGGGTTCTTAGTTTTGGTGATTTAATGCTCTATTTTTGTGCTGGTTGGCCTCCTGCCAAGATGTGGCGCTTTCCAGAGAGCATCAGCAGTAGCAGTGCAGAGGGATCAGCAGTGAGTGGGGCCCTAGAATTCCCAAGATTATATGTCCTTTGTCTTCTGCTACCTGAGTGGGTAGGGAAGGACTGTCAGGTGGGGGCGGGGCTAGGCGTGTCTGAGCTCAGACTCTCCTTGGGTGGGTCTTGCTGCGGCTGCTGTGGGGGATGGGGTGAGAGTCCCAGGTCACTGGAGCTGTGCACCTAGGAGGATTATGGCTGCCTCTGCTGAGTCATGCAGGTTGTCAAGGAAGTGGGGGAAAGCCAGCAGTCACAGGCCTCACCCACCTCCCATGCAAACTGAAGGGCTGGTCTCACTCCTACCATGCCCCCCACAACAGCCCCAGATCTGTTTCCAGGTGGAAGGCGGGCTTGAAAACTTGCCAGAGGCTTTCACCTCCCAGAGTATTTGGGGTGTCTCCCGGGTCCTGCAGAAGCAGTCCGCTTCCTTCAGAGAGTCTGAGGGTCCTCTCAGGATTGCTGGTTTGTTCTTGCAGTCGATCTGGAGCTAAAATTCACAATTTAAGCCTCCACATGCTCCTCTGTCAGGAGCTGCAATCTAGTCCTGCCTCCCATCTGCCATGATCCCTCTTTATACACAATCTACAGATTCAATGCAATCTGTATTAAAGTTCTAATGGCTGTTTTTGCAGAAATAAAAAAGTTGATCCTCAAATTCATATGGAATTGCAAGGAGCTCCAGATAGCCAAAATAATATTGAAAAAGAACAAAATTGGAAGATTCCATGCTTCCTGATTTCAAAACTCAATACAAGGTACAGAAATCAAAACAGTGTGGTACTGGCTGGCATACGGACAGACATATAGACCAATACAGTAGAAATTGAGATTCCAGAAATTATCCCATACATCTATGTCCAATTGAGTTTTGACAAGGGTGCAAGACCATCAATGGGGAAATTGTCTCTTCAAGAAATAGTGTTAGAAAACTGGATATTCACAAGCAAAAGAATGAAGATAAACCCCTACATCATACCATCTACAAAAATTAACTCAAAAGGGATCAATCACCTAAATATAAAAGCTAGAGCTATAATACTTTTATACAAAGCCATAGATGTCAATATTCACAACCTTGAATTTGACTATAGATAATTATGACACTAAAAGCACAAGTAACAAAAGAAAACAAACTTCATCAAAATTAAAATCTTTTGTCCACCAATAGACATTAAGAAGTTGTTGACAAGAAAACCTACAGAATAGGAGAACATATTTGCAAATCATATATCTATCTGATAAGAGTCTTGTATCCAAACTATATTAAGAACTCTTAAACTCAACAAAAAGACGACCCAATTCAAAAATAGACAAAGGAATTGGATAGACATTTCTTCAAAGAAGATGTACAAATGGCCAAAAAGCATATAAAAAGATGCTCAACATCATTATTCATTAGAAAAATGCAAATCAAAACCACAATGAGATATCACTGCATACTTAAAAGGATGGTGTTATGAAATGAATTGTGTCCCTCAAATAAAGATATGTTGAAGTCCTAACTCCCACTACCGAAAAATGTGATCTTATTTGGAAATAGGGTATTTACAGAGGTAATCAAAATGAGGTCATTAAGGTAAGCCCTAATCCAATATTACTGGTGTCCTCCTAAAAAGAGGAAACTAGACAAAGAATGCACAGAGCAAAGATGGTGAGAAGACATACAGGGAGGAAGCCATGTGCAAATAAAGATAGAGTTTGGAGTGATGCATCTACAAGTCAAAGATTGCCAACAAACCACCAGAATCTGGGGAAAATGTGGGAACAGATTCTCCCTCACAGCTCTCAGAAGGAACTAACCTGCCAACACCTTAACTGCTGGCTTCCAAAACCGTGAGATAAATTTTTAAAGTTACCCAGTTGGTGGAAACAACCTAGTGTCCATCAAAGGACGAATGGATGAACAAAATGTGGTACAGACATACAATGGAGTATCATTCGGCCATTCAAAAGAACAAAACACAAATGAACCTTGTAAACATGCTATATGAAGTAAGCCAGACAGTGTATGATGCTATTTTATGAAATATTCAGAATAGGTAAATCCATAGAGATAGAAAGCAGATTATTGGTTTCTAGGGGCGGCAGGAGGTGATTGTTTAATAGGTGTAAGGTTTTCTTTGGGGGTGATGAAAAGTTTTGGAACTTGATAGAAATAGTAGTTGTAAAATATTGTGAATGTACTAAATGCACTGAATTGTACATTTTAAAATAGTTATTTGTATGTTATGTGACTTTCACCTCAATAAAAAAAGCAATCAGATCTTTTGAAAATCTGTTACCATATATAATTTACATTTTCTGAATTATTCTCATCTTTGTTTCACATTTGTCAGTGTTTCAACAATGCATTATACATTTTCTTAAGTTTAGGTACATAAGAATTACCATTCACTTCACAGTGATGGCTTTCCATGAAAGAAGAAACCAAAAAGAATTTCAACTGGATTTAAAATAGAAAAATACTACAGAGAATCAGAACAATGTATTGTAAGAAACTTCAGCTTCACTGTCAGGCATAGGTGCGAATTCTGGCCTTATCATATATTAGTTCTATGGTTCTGAGCAGTTTCTTGCCTTCTCCAAACCTCAGCTTTCTCATCTATAAAATAGGGATAATGTAGTGGTGGGAATCAAATGAGATACAGTTTATTTGTGTAAAGCCTCCATCACAATGCTTTGCATAAGCAGGCCAAAAATAAAACAAACTACCGTGGATTCAAATTGTTCTATTTCCAGAGACAGATCAAGCACACCCCTGATTACTACATAATAAGAAAGAAAAACTATTAAGGAGTAATAGCATTCAGAGATTACAATAAAAGATGTTACCTTCATTGTGGCATATATTACAATGAACTACCACTTTTAGATTAGTCTGTAGGCAGCAATTATTGTTTATTTATTAAGCTCTGTGAGAATTAAAGATATGCCACAAGTGATTCAGTATAACAAAAAGACAATTTTCCTATAAACTTTATATATTTATTGTTTGTTAATTTTTGGAGAGATGGAGTCTTGCTGTGTCTTCCAGGATGGAGTACAGTGGCACAATTATAGCTCACTGTAACAATTACTAGGCTCAAGCGAGCTTCCTGCTTCAGCCTCCCAAACAGCTAGAACTACAGGTGTGCACCACCACAACTGTTATTTTTATTACTATTTTAAAGGCAGGGTCTACCTATGTTGCCCAGGGTGGTCTCCAACTCCTGGCTTCAAGCAATCCTCTCACCTCGGCCTTCCAAAGTGCTGGGATTACAGGCATGAGCCACTGTGGCCAGCCCCAATTTTTCTATTAAAATAGGACATAGCACACCATTATAAGCCCATGAAACAAAGTACAACTTGAAAATTTCATGTGCATCTTTCCACAATAGAAAAAACTTCTTCTGAGAAACAAACCATTTCAGGCCAATGAGAGATTTTACTGTCAATATTTTGAACACATATTCTCAATTTTTTTTTTTTTTTTTTTTTTTTTTGGAGACAGGGTCTCACTCTGTGGCCCAGGCTGGAGTGCAGCGGCATGATCATGGCTCACTCAGTCCCCATGGCCTCAAGCAATCCAGCAATCCTCCCACCTCAGCCTCCTGCATAGCTGACACTACAGGTGCATGCGTCCACGCCTGGCTAATTTTTGTATTTTTTTGTAGAGACTGGGTTTTGCCAAGTTACCCAGGCTGGTCTCGAACTCGTGGGCTCAAGCAACCCATAGGTCTTGGCTTCCCAAAATGCTGGGATTCAGGCATGAGCCACCGCACCCAGCTCTAAAATTTCTGTATCTCAAAATATAAATATTTCTATCATAAAATTGCAGGTTTTTAAAGGAAAAGCTGAAGTGGAAAATAAAAGCTAAAAAACAAAAACAAAAGTGTTTTTAGAATAATTAGAAACTTCAGACATCTAACTAAGGCAGAAACTATTGATAGATAGATAAGATACCCAAACTAACAAAATATTGAAAGGATTTTTTAACTCACTGCCAATTTTGAAAAGAAATTAATGAAAGTATTGAGATTAAAATGTACACACACACACACACACACACACACACACACACACACATATATATATATATATATATATATATATATATATATATATATATATATTTGAGACAGAGTCTCGCTCTGTTGCCCAGGCTGGAGTGCAGTGGCATGATCTCTGCTCACTGCAAGCTCCACCTCCCAGGTTCACACCATTCTCCTGCCTCAGCCTCCCAAGTAGCTGGGACTACAGGAGCCCGCTAGCACGCCCGGCTAATTTTTTGTATTATTAGTAGAGACGCGGTTTCATCGTGTTAGCCAGGATGGTCTCGATATCCTGATCTTGTGATCCGCCTGCCTCGGCCTCCCAAAGTGCTGGGATTATAGGTGTGAGCCACCACACCCAGCCAACGTACACCAATATTTTAAGGAGAAAAAGCTGAGGTGCCAATAAGAAATGACCAATATAGATTGTATATCTATATATTATTCACTGGTCATCAGCTATGTATTCCTGAGAAATAATTTTCCAATAGTCTTAAATTTCTGAACATTTTGCAAATAGAGGCAACAACGGCTTTTACTTCAGACCATTTTTTCAAAGATGTTCATGTAACACAATGGTCTCCAACCTTTTTGGAACCAGGGACCAGTTTCGTAGAAGACAATTTTTCCATGGGCCAGGGTGGAGAGGTGGTTTCAGGATGAAACTGTTCCACCTCAGATCATCAGACATTATTAGTTCGATTCTCATAAGGAGCGCACAACCTAGATCCCTCGCATGCACAGTTCACAATAGGGTTCGAGCTCCTATGAGAATCTAACATGGCCACTGATCTGACAGGAGGTGGGGCTCAGGCAGTAATGCTTGCTTGCTCTGGCTCACCTCCTGCTGTTCCTAACAGGCCATGGACCAGTACCATGTAACATGGCCACTGATCTGACAGGAGGTGGAGCTCAGGCAGTAATGCTTGCTTGCCCTGGCTCACCTCCTGCTGTTCCTAACAGGCCATGAACAAGTACCAGTCCGTGGCCCAGGGGTTGGGGACCTCTGATATAATGAACAGCCCTGGAAGACAATGGTTCCTTCCACTGGATTAAAGAGCAGACATATGGCAGGAGAATTGCTTGAACCCAGGAGGCAGAGGTTGCAGTGAGCAGAGATCGCGCCATTGCACTCTAGTCTGGGTGACAAGAGTGAAACTCTGTCTCAAAAAATTAATTAATTAATTAAAAATAAAGAAAGAGTAGACATACTTACTGTCCATAATAAAAGGTTCAGATTCCCTAAATTCAGCGTTTCCCTCCTCCAACACAAGCCACTGCATGTGCAGGTAGTACCTGGCCCTCATGTTGCTCTGTGGGAAGTAGGGCTCAAGGAACGAATGCAAGAAAAGGCTGGCATACTGCTATTGCTGGAATTGTCATGTCTTCTGCCAGAATCCATAAAAGTGTGGCAGCTAAGTTCTTAGCTTGCAAGTAGGGTAAAATCTCAGATCCTTCACAGTTCCTAACATGGATCAGATACTATGCTAGGTACTGGGAGCTCAGAGGGATAAGGGTTAGAATTTCATACCCAAAGACCTTGCAGTCATCTAGTACTACTGCTATTACCATCTATCCATTAGGCACACGACCATTTAACTTAAACTTCATTAATAACATTATACTTTCTTTCTAACTTTTAATCAAAGTAATGTATGTGAGGAAAAAAACTGAAGTACATTATGGCTTATTATTAAAATCAACAGTTCTCATATCACATTTCTTCCCACTACTTGGTTAGTTCCCAAGAGGCAATTACTTTAACCATTTCCATTTTTTTGTTACATAGGATGTTGTCTATGTCACTCTAAGTTATATGTTTATACTTTAAGTTCCTGATATAAACTTAATCCACTGCATTTTTACTATGAAAAGTAAATATTTTGGCTCATTATGCTACTTACCATCTACCCTTTCTTTCTCCCCCCATTAAAAAAAAGAAATTAAGTGGTTCATGTCTATAATCTCAGCACTTTGGGAGGCCAAGGTGACAGGACTCCTTGAGCCATGAGTTCAAGACCAGCCTAGGCAACACAGCAAGACCTCTATCTCTACAAAAAAGTAAAAAATTAGCTGGGCATGGTGATGTGCACCTGTAACCCCAGCTACTTAGGAGACTGAGGCAAGAGGATCACTTAGGCCCAGGAGTTCGAGGTTGCAATGAGATATGATCACACTACTGCACTCCAGCCTGTGTGACAGAGCAAGACCCTGTCTATTTAAAAAAAAAAAAAAAAAAGCAAAAAGAAAAAAAAGAAAAAAATTAAGGTATAATTTCCACACAGTAAAATATATCCCCTTTTTACTCAGGGACTAAGTTTTTTCTAAAAAAGTAAAAGTTTTTAAATAAAATATATTTCCTTTTATCATAGTTCTGCAACATTTGACAAATTCAGTTTTCATATTACCCTGCAATCAACACAGATCATTCCCATTACCCAAAAATATTTCCCTTGTCCTTTATAACACCTCTCCTGCTCCCAGCAATCACTCTGTACCTACAGATTTATCATACAAATAGAATTATACACTATAGTGCTTTTGAGTCTGACTTCTTTCACTTGGTATAATGTATTTGAGAACCTTACATTTTAATGGGTATACCAGTAATTTATTCCTTTCTATTGTCAGGTAATATTCCATTGTATGACTATACCACAATTTGTTTATCCAATCACACACTGAAGAACATCTGGGTTGTTTCTAGTTTTTGGCAATTATGAATAATGCCTACACTATAAACACTTAGGAACAGATTTTTATGTGGACTTATGCTTTTATTTCAATTCTATAAATACTAGTTACAGGTATCACTGTGTCACATAGCATGTGTAAGCTTCACTTTATAAGAAATTGCCACACTCCTTTTTTTTTTTTTTTTTAAATTATACTTTAAGTTTTAGGGTACATGTGCACATTGTGCAGGTTAGTTACATATGTATACATGTGCCATGCTGGTGTGCTGCACCCACTAACTCATCATCTAGCATTAGGTATATCTCCCAATGCTATCCCTCCCCCCTCCCCCCTCCCCACCACAGTCCCCAGAGTGTGATGTTCCCCTTCCTGTGTCCATGTGATCTCATTGTTCAATTCCCACCTATGAGTGAGAATATGCGGTGTTTGGTTTTTTGTTCTTGCGATAGTTTACTGAGAATGATGGTTTCCAATTTCATCCATGTCCCTACAAAGGACATGAACTCATCATTTTTTATGGCTGCATAGTATTCCATGGTGTATATGTGCCACATTTTCTTAATCCAGTCTATCATTGTTGGACATTTGGGTTGGTTCCAAGTCTTTGCTATTGTGAATAATGCCGCAATAAACATACGTGTGCATGTGTCTTTATAGCAGCATGATTTATAGTCATTTGGGTATATACCCAGTAATGGGATGGCTGGGTCAAATGGTATTTCTAGTTCTAGATCCCTGAGGAATCGCCACACTGACTTCCACAATGGTTGAACTAGTTTACAGTCCCACCAACAGTGTAAAAGTGTTCCTATTTCTCCACATCCTCTCCAGCACCTGTTGTTTCCTGACTTTTTAATGATTGCCATTCACACTCCTTTTCAAAGTGACTCTATGACTTGCATTTCCTCCACTATTGTATGAGACCTTCAGTCACTCTGCATCCTCACTAGCACTTAGTATTGCTAGATTTTTTTAAATTAGACCAATTCTATTTGGCATATCATGGTATTCATTGTAGTTTTAAATTTCATTTCACTAATGAGCTATATTTTTTCATGTGCTTATATTTACCATTCACACTTTTTCTTTGGTGAACTGTCTACTCAAATGTTTTGCCCGTTTAAAAAACTGTTTTCTAATTACTGAGTTTTGAGAGTTCTTTATATCTTTTGGATTCACATCTTTTATGAAATTTATGATTTGCAAATATTTTCTTCCAGTCTGTGGCTTATCTTGTTCTCTTAAAGCTGTCTTTTACAGAGCAAAATTTTTAATTTTGGTAAAGTCTAATTTATCACTGTTTTCTTTCAGGGAACACACCAAACCCAAGGTCGTGCAGATATTCTGTTTTCTTTTGTAAGTTTCACATTTTACAGTTACTTAGTTCTATAATCCATTTTAAAATAATTTTTATATAAGCTTGGAGGTATATGTCTGGGATTTTTGCATTTGGATATCCAATTGTTCTAGATCTACTTGTTCTAGAACTCTGGAGTTGTTCTGGAACTCTACATTACC
The DNA here is from genome assembly GCF_000001405.40 of Homo sapiens. Taxonomy (NCBI): domain Eukaryota; kingdom Metazoa; phylum Chordata; class Mammalia; order Primates; family Hominidae; genus Homo; species Homo sapiens. The sequence continues at coordinate 60,509,762 of NC_000006.12, read as the reverse complement.
ATTTCCTTATTAAATTGCCCTGGCACCTTTGTTTAAAAATCAGTTGCCCATATATATGTGGGTCTATTTCTGAACTCTATTCTGTCCAATTAATCTGTCTTCATCATTTCCCTAATACCACACCATCTTAATTACAATAGTTTTCAGTAAGTTTTGAAATCAGGAAAATGTGTCTCCACTTTGTTTTTCATTTTCATCAGTCTTTCATATAAAGATCTTATGTATATTTTGGATTTCTGGTACTGCTGTATATGGTATTAGGTTGCTACAAAAGTATTTGCAGTAAAAGCCACAATTATGTTTGCAGCAAACTAATACTTTTTGAAATGTTTAATTTCCAATTGTTCACTGTAAGAAATAGAATTGATTTTTGTATATTGAGTTAGTATCCTTCCACCTACTAGTTACAGTAGCATCTTGCTAGGTTCTTTGAGATTTTTTACATTGATAATCACTTTGAGAATAGAAAAAGGTTTTCTTTCTTCTTTTCTAATCTTTTGTTTTTCTTGCTTTATTGCTCTGCTTTAAATCCTACTTTATAGGATTTCAAATTATTTACATTTGTAATGGATTTTAAAGACCTAGACTATGATCTACCTGGTTTACTATTTCATGTCTCCTGTTGTTGGGTAACATGTTCTACAGATGTTAATTAGGTAAAGTTGGTTGACAGTATTGTTCAAGGCTTCTATATCCTCCTGACTTTCTGCCTGCTTCTTCTGTTAATTATTAAGAGGAGTGCTGAAGTCTCCAAACATAACTGTGGATTTGTCTCGTTGTCTTTTCAGTTCTCTATTATTAATTCATGTATTTTGAAGCTATGTTTTTGGGGCATAAATATTTACAATTTTTATATCGTGTTGGTGAATTGACTGCTGTGTATTTCTCTTTTCGGGGAGGAAAGGAGAATAAATGCAGGGGTATCCATTTTCTTTGGCCATATTCTGTTGTTTAGTTGCTGTTTCTTAAGCTGGATACCAAGCTCATTAATTTTCAGTGATTTTGTAACACTATTAAGGTTAATTAAAAAGGAAAATGAAATGTGATCCTGTAAGTATGCTTTATAAAAAAAATCAGCAACACCAGCTGAGTCACAATGATCTCTTTTCTGATCACCAACATTTTGATTACTTAAAACATCTATTTCTTGGCCAGGAGTGGTGGCTCACGCCTGTAATCCCAGCACAGTGGGAGGCCGAGGCAGGCGGATCACCCAAGGTCAGGAGTTTAAGACTGGCCTGGCCAACATGGTGAAACCCCATCTCTACAAAAATACAAAAATTAGCTGGACATGATGGAGGGTGCCTGTAATCCCAGCTACTTGGGATGCTGAGGCGGGAGAATCGCTTGAACCCAGGAGGTGGAGGTTGCAGTGAGCCGAGATTGCACCATTGCACTCCAGCCTGGAAGACAGAGCAAGACTCTGTCTCCAAAAATTAAAAAAAAAATCTATTTCCTATAGTTGAAGGTATCTTTTTCAAGTAGTTTTCTCTGAGATAAAAATAACCACATGGAGTTCTACCTTACGTACATTTTAATGATGTTTTTCTTAACTCTCATTCAATATTTTAATGTACGCTTGGAGTTTTCAAGATCTAATCTGCACTTAGGCCAACCTACAAAATTCAACCTTATCAAAATGTTTTACATGGAATTTTCATTCATTAACTCTCTGCCCTTTAGAATACAGTCCACCAGCTGCTTCACTCTAGTGAGATCTACTCAATAAAGACATCAAATAAAAGCAAGATATTATTTACAGCTTGCTGGCATGCACTATACATCTGTGTTCATCTCAGATAAAAGGTTACAATGCAGGTCTAAAGGGTAATGTGAAAATTACTAACCAGCTTCAGCTAAGTAAGGAGTATACTTATGGATCAAGGGCAAATGGAGAAATACAGTGGAGTCAAAAGCAAAGAGTATACAAACATGGTCATTACTATTAACTATAAACATTAATTTTCTTGAGATAATGTTAGTATATTAAGATTATTTTTTTAAAGGTGATTCTTTATGACTGCTAAAAAACGCTTCTAATTTCTTCTAGATTCCCTATCACATTTGTTGGTGGTAGTTTCTAACCTTTTCTATAACCAGAATATCATTCATAACCCCTTTACTCTCCAGCTGATGACCTTACTTTACTTACAAGGAAGAGTAAGACCAGTTGATATACTCCATCAACTTCCCTTTGCTGTGTCTTAACTATTTCCTCTATGTTCCCACATTGCTGAGGGGTATGCCTTTCTCTGTCACCATTCTTTGGTTCAAGTGCATATCGTCCTTCCTCCAATAAGTTACTTTTTCACTTGTGTCTTTGAGTTCCTATTTGCCTCTCTCTGCATACCACCATGCATACTCTAGGATCCACCTCATACCTAAATATGCCCATTCACTCTTCCAACATTTTTAAAGCACCTAACAAGTGTAACTCATTAGATTACCATGAGATAGAAAGTTAAGTAAAAATCCAGTCCTCCTTTCAGGAAACTCACAAACTATTGGGAAAGATGAACAGGTAAACAAATAATTACAATCAAGTGTAACAAATGTTAAGAGCAAAGGCATGTGCAATCCAGTCATGGTATAAAGGAAAGAGAACTTAATTCTACTTGGTTAGAGAGTTATTTTCTTTCTTTTATATCTTCATCAAGCCCACCCTCTCTGACAGTTCTTTCTTCTCCTCCTCTTTCTACAGATAGGCTCAGGTCTTAAACCCAGAAATGAACAATCCTATGATGCTTAAGCTAATACCACTCTAGCATCCCCTTTACTGGCACTTTTTTTTTTTTTTTTTCTTGAGACAGGGTCTCAATCCATTGCCAATGCTGGAGTGCAGTGGCATGATCACGGCTCCCTGGAGGCTCAACTTCTTGGGCTCAGGTGATTCTTCCACCTCTGCCTCCTGAGTAGCTAAGGCTACAGTTGAATGCCACCACACCTGCTAATTTTTTGTAGAGACAGGTTTTTGCCATGTTGCTCAGGCTGGTCTTGAATGCCTGGGCTCAGCAGTCTGCCTGCCTCAGCCTCCCTACTAAGTGCTAGCATTACAGGTACAAGCCACTGCACCTGGCCTGACACATTTTTTGAAAAGGTTATTTACTGTCTTTCATTAATTTTTTAAGCAAGTATAATCTTGCTTTTGGTTTCCACCATTTTACTGACACCTCACCAAAGTCAAAGTCAAATAATCCTCTCAGCATATCCAACCACCTTTTCTTAGTTCCTCCATGAAAAGAAATCTCTGCTACAAGGGACTCTGTGGAACTTATTCTCTTCTCAAAATTTTTTCCTTGACTTTTGTGATACTTCACTACCTTAATGTATTTTCTCCCTCTCTCCCCATTTCTGTTCAGTCTTCATTGATCCCACCTCCTTTTAATGCTTGACAAAGAGAAGGATTAGCCAAGATTACATTTTCATAAAACAGCTTTTGACTCCCTACCTCTTCTCTCTCTCCAGCAAACTCATTATAATAAGCTCTAAAGTAGAGTGGAGTTCAGGGGAAAAAAAAAAAATCTTAGGAGTCAGAAAGCATGGCTTCAATTTTTGGTTCTACCACTGACTTCCTACCTATGCACCATGGCATGTCACATCCTAGGACTCCAAAAAAGAGAATGGCTTTCTACCTATGCTACAATTCTAACTGAAAAGACCATCAGATTTCTAGTCTTAAATTATCTAATGCCCTAAATCCACATTAATACCATTTAAATGCAGACATAATATGTTAACATAGATACGTTAAGAACTTGTATTGTTTTCAAAAAGGGGATCCTTTATGACTGCTTAAAAAAAAAGCCAGTAATTCTTTATTTCTAGATTCCTTATCAAATATGTTAGCAGCAGTTTATAACCACTAAAATTAAGTCACTCAAACTGAAACCAACTATACTTCCTTTAAGTTACCTATTAGTATTTATGTATTGGTGCCACCATTATCCTAAGCTTGAAATCTTAACACTCCTATAGTCTTTCATTTGTGCATTCTCTCTCCCTAATTCCCAACCTTCATGCAAGGCCTAATTCAAAGGGCATCTCTTCCATAAAGGGTTCCTTGACCTCTTCAGCTGGTTATAGTCTTTCCCTCATCAGAAGACCCAAGACAGTCTATGTGTACCTCTCATGACACTTGGTTTATGTTTTTATTTTCAGACACTGGTTTTGCGGGAGCAGGATTTATATCTGATTCTTCCTTGCATACTCTATGGCACCTTGAACACTGCTTTGCTCAAAGTACTAAAAAACTATGTAAGATTTGTTATCTGAACTTTGGACACAGAAGCAGCCATAAAGTTGTCTAGAGTAACAATTTTCTTTAAATAAAAATAACAATTTAAAGATGTATGATGATTTAGATGTTCTAACTCTAAAATATATAATGTTCTTCTTAAGCTAAGGAAGCAGCAGCTCTTCCCCTATTCCTTCAAAATTCCAGTCAACTTGAAAGCACACTATAGAAAATAGTCTTTGCTATGTCACAATATTAATTTTTTAAAGGTAGACTTACTAAAAAATGTACTGTTTAACATTTGGTTTTACAATCTGAGCATTTCCATTGTTCATAAGACAAAGTATTTTGACAAACTCTTTGATCTGCCATCAGAAGTGTAGATTAAACACAGCAATAACTGATGCCTATCAGAACATTCAGCCAGTGTGTACTACATTATCATCTGCTCAGAAAACAATTTCCCAAAATGAAATATGCTGTCATTAATTTTCAGCTTCATTAATAAGCTTCCATGCATTGCTCAAAAATTTTATTTTTAAAGATGTAGTCCTCAATTGAGATAGTAAAACAAACTGAGGTGTGGGGGAAGCTTTCCAGCTTCCTTTATGACTAGGAAAAATAAAAATGCAGCTTAGCAGACAGAAGAACTAGAATTTCCCAAGAGTCTAAACCAGATAAGTCAAGGTTTTAACTTAATTCATCTTGAAGATAAGATGTCTGGTGTGAGGCCTGACAAGTAATACACAGCATCACTGCAAGAACATTAAATAAAACCGAGAGATCTGTCTAAGGCCTCATTACTGCAGATGCAGAGAGAAGAATATGACCTACCTGGCTTATCCCTCCAGGAGAGATCTTGTATGACTGCAACTTTTGCTTCAGCAGCTCTGGATCACTGTGACGGAATGGGCACCCTGACAACAAAAAATAAGCCAGCACACAAACAAGGTTATTTACTCACAACTTAGTACAATACCACACTCGAGAGACCATCTAAGCTCCCCTTAATTGTCTAACGGCTTATTAATAAAAAAAGGTAATTGCCCATGGGTGCAACTGCATTCCTCTTTTTATCTAAATGATTACTTAGCTGTATGGTTATCAGGGCACTCCAGGCTCAAGAGTTACATAAAACATTGCAGCATTCTCAGGCTAAGATGTCCATTCCACAAGAAGAGGGAAAACAGCTTTAATTACTCTCCTTGCTAACAAGCACAAATAATCACAAAATAGCTGCATAATAGTTTATTTTAAAACTTTATACAATCTTCTTATATTCTAGTCTAAAAATTATATAAAAGGCATATGAGAGAAGGAAGATAGATAAACAAAATGAAAAACATGCAAACTCTGAGAAAGAAAAAAATTCAACATCATTTTCAAATGTAAATTATATGCCTATTTCCTAAAGCGTAGAATCTATGAAAAAGTAAAAGAATCATGGATGGAAATGAGATGAAAAAATAAACTATTTCATAGAAAAACAACTTATGGTGGATGTGTGTCATCTCTATATTATTTCATGAAAAAAATGAAAGACCACTAGAAATATTCACATAAATAAGAATACAGAAGAATTTGAAATACAAAAGCTGTTTTAGGACAAAAATCTAGAAAATTTTAGATATTTTAATAAACTGCAATGGTAAGTCAAAATGCTTATTAAAAATTTAATATAGAAAAGTCTTTTTTTTCAGTCATACAGATGATAGATTTGTAAGTTAATAATTGTGCATTTTTCACAAATTAGAAAATCTAGAGGAAATGACTAAGTTCCACGAAACACACAACCTTCTGAGACTGAAGCAGGAAGAAAGTGAAAATCTGAACAGACCAATAATAAGGTCTGAAATTGAATCTGGAATAAAAAAACCTAACAACCAGAAAAAGCCCTGGACCAGGTAGACTCATAGCCAGATTCTACCAGATGTACAAAGAAGAATTGGTACCAATCCTACCAAAACTATTCCAAAAAACTGAGGAGGGGGGACTCCCCCCATTAACTCAATTTATGAAGCCAGCATCACCCTAATACCAAAATCTGGCCAAGACACAATGAAAAAAAGAAAACTTCTGGCCAATATCTCTGATGACCATAGAATCAAAATCCTCAACAAAATACTAGCAAACTGAATCCAGCAGCACATCAAAAAGCTAATTCACCATGATCAAATAGGCTTTATTTCTGGGATGCAAATCTGACTCAACTTATGCAAATCAATAAAAGTGATTCACCACATAAACAGAATTAAAAACAAAAATCATATTATCTCAATAGAAAAAGCTTTCAATAAAATCCAATATCCTGGCCAAGCGCGGTGGCTCACGCCTGTAATCCCAGCACTTTGGAAAGCCGAGGCGGGCGGATCACGAGGTAAGGAGATCAAGATCATCCTGGCTAACACGGTGAAACCCCGTCTCTACTAAAAATACAAAAAATTAGCTGGGCATGGCGGCAGGCACCTGTAGTCCCAGCTACTCAGGAGGCTGAGGCAGGAGAACGGCATGAACCCAGGAGGCGGAGCTTGCAGTGAGCCCAGATCGCACCACTGCGTTCCAGCCTGGGAAACAGAGTGAGACTCCGTCTCAAAAAAAAAAAAAAATCCAATATTCCTTCATGACAAAAACCCTCACAAAACTAGATACCAAAGGAATATACCTCAAAATAATAAGAACTATCTAAGAGAAACCCACAGCCAACATCATACTGAATGAGCCAAAGCTCAAACCATTCCCCTTGAGAATGGGAACAAGACAAGGATGCCCACTCTCACCACTCTTACTCAAAATACTACTGGGAGTCTTACCCAGAGCAATCAGGCAAAAGAAAGAAATAAAAGCCATCCAAATAGGAAAAGAAGTCAAACTATCTTTCTTTGCTGATGATATGATTCTATACCTAGAAAACCCTAAAGAATGCACCAAAAAGTCTCCTGGAATTAATCAATGACTTTAGCAAAGTTTCAGGATACAAAATTGATATACAAAAATCAGTAGCATTTCTTTTTTTGAGACAGAGTCTCACTCTGTCACCTGGTGCAGTGGTGCCATCTCAGCCAACTGCAACCTCCGCCTCCTGAATAGCTGGAATTACAGGTGCACGCCACCACGCCTGGCTAATTTTTGTTTTGCTTTTTAATTTTAGTAGAAATGAGGTTTCACCATGTTGGCCAGGCTGGTCTTGAACTCCTGACCTCAAGTGATCTACCCGTGTTGGCCTCCCAAAGTGCTGGGATTACAGGCATGATCCACCACAACCAGCCTTAAAAATCAGTAGCATTTCTACATACCAACAATGTTCAAGCTGAGAGCCAAATCAAAAACACAATTCTCTTTAGAGTAGCCACCAAAAATTAAATAAATAAAATATTTAGGAATACATCTAAGCAAGGAAGTGAAAGATCTCTACAAGAAGAACTACAAAACGCTGCTGAAAGAAATCAGAGACAACACAAACAGGAAAACATTCCATGCTCATGGATTGGAAGAATCAATGTCATTAAAATGGCCATACCACCCTAAGTAATGTACAGATTCAATGCTATTTCTATCAAACTACCAATGTCATTTTTCACAGAATAAGAAAACAACTATTCTAAAATTCATATGGAACTAAAAAAGAGCCTAAATGACCAAAGCAATCCTAAGCAAAAGGAACAAAGCCAGAGGCATCACTCTACCTAACTCCAAACTATACTATAAGGCTATTGTAACCAAAACAGTATGGTACTGGTACAAAAACCGACACATAGACTAATGAAACAGAATAGAGAATCAGAAATAAGCCAGCATACCTACAACTATCTGACCTTCAACAAAGTCAATAAAAATAGGCAATGGAGAAAGGACTCCCTATTCAATAAATGTGTTGGAATAACCAGCTAGCAGAGACATGAAAATTCTAAGAACAAAAAAGAAATGCTAGCGATCAAAAACACTGTAACAGAAATGAAGAATGTCTTCAATGGGTTCATCAATAGACTGGACATGACTGGGGAAAATCCTTGGATCTTGTGGATATAACAAATAGAAACTTCTGAAACTAAAAAGCAAAGAGAAAAAAGACAAAAACAAAACAAAACAAAACACAATACCTAAGAACTATGGGACAACTATAAAAGGTATAACGTGTAAATGAAATCCCAAAAGGTGAAAAAAGAGAGAAAAGAACAGAAGCACAGATGGGGAGAAAACATTTGCAAAAGACAAATCTGATAAAGTACTGTTATGCGAAATACACAATGAACTCTTGTAAACTATGGGCTTTGGATGATAAGAATTTGTCAATGTAGTTTCATCAATTGTAACACATGTACCAGTGTGGTGTGGAATACTGACAGCAATGGAGGTTGTGCATGTGTTGGGGCGTGGAGGTACATGGGAACTCTGAACTTCCCACACGATTTTGCTGTGAACCTAAAACAGCTCTAAAAAATTAAGTTTATTACTTTTTAAAAATGGAATAAGTAAATGTTTCCAACAAATAATGAGTTCATTGAGTGCTAAGTATAATATTTCTTGACTGACAGAGTTGAACTTAGAAACAAAATAATAACATAAAGCACTGGGATAACAAGATACAACTTAAGAGAAATAAAGTTTTGCATTTAAGCTAATGAAAACCAACTAATTAAGAGACAAATGCTAGAACCTGGAAATTTGCAGACAAATCCCTGGGAGTTTTACTTGGCCACAAGCTTAATCATAAGTTGACTGCCTGGTATGGCTGCTAGGCTAAAAAAGGCTTCAGGCTTCCCCAACAGAAGTACCTGGCCCCATGGTTTTCAAACTTTAGAAGACATAAAACTCACCCAGTGTACTTGCAAATAAAGTCTGATTTTATATGACTGAGGGTGCACTCTGAGAATCTGCATTTCTAAAAAAGCACCTCAAGGGACTCTGAAATAAGTGATAAAAACCACTCAATATCTATTACCAGGCTGGGTGTGGTGGCTCAGGCCTGTAATCCTAGCACTTTTGGAGGCCAAGGTGAGCAGATCACCTGAGGCCCGCCAGCCTGGCCAACTAGGCGAAACCTCGTCTCTACTAAAAATACAAAAAATTAGCCGGGCAGGGTGGCAGGTGCCTGTAATCCTAGCTACACAGGAGGCTGAGGCAGGAGAATTGCTTGAACCCAGGAGGTGGAGACCTGCAGTGAGCCGAGATCACGCCATTGCACTCCAGCCTGGGCAACAAGAATGAAACTCTGTCTCAAAAAAAAAAAATCTATGTCTATATATAGATCTATCTTATCTGTCTATCTATATAACGAGTGCTGGCCACTTCTTCATCTATTAACTAATGAATGTATGGGCATTTTTTAGTGATTTGGTCACATAGAATGTCTTTCTAAAAATATTGTTTATGATTATTTGATCTTTAGCAGTCCAAAAGTGTGCAGTCTTTTAAAAAGTGTTGAAGATTCTAAAACAAAAATAAGTTTTGACACATACTGTAGTAAGCTTTGATAATCCAGAAAATTTACTGATATAAACTATTAATTCATTCTTGGACGTACCAGACAAATGAGATGTTTTGTTTTTCTTTTTAAATAACTCAGGAAAACTGATAGTTATGGCAGATATCACGACATGTTAAATTGCCCACTTAATCTTTGTTGGTTAATCAGATGATGGTGATAAGAAAAAAACCTCACACTTTTCCTTAGTAGTTAGCCTTTGGAAAATTAATGAATCTACTATTCCAAACTTAGAACATTCTAATTTCAAAAAGCTTTGTAAAACTTACATCGCCCTCTAAGACACTCGCAGAACACTGCAGAAGATGAGGGAGACAGAGAACAGCGGGAAGGAAGAAAGTGAGAACTGAAAAGCCTAATCCAGCACAAACTGAAGTGCAGCTGAATGAATTTCTCTTGCCTGACCTAGTTCAGTAATAAGACAAATTGTTCTAAGAGTAATGGAGCTCTAGCTTGACAGTGACGACTGACATAAGCTACAAACTAGGTCTTGACAGGAATGCAAAAAGCCACAACATTGTTTCAGTGTTTCCAACAGAGCTCTTGGATTTCTGTACTTGGCCAACATATCCAGTGGAGGCACTTACCATGATAATCCCCTTGGCTTGGTGGATTGGATAGAATAATCTTCAGGCAACTGAAAGGTGTATAGTCTGTCCTCTTGCCTTCCTTTCCAAAGCTGTGACGGATGTTCTAAGAGTAACCTTTATCAAACTGATTGGGAGGAAATGGAAAAAGAGACAAAGTCAGCCAATAATTATACTAGTGAGGTCAGCAACACAAGCTAGAATCAAAGAGTGCAAAGCAATATTTTCTAGAATAAATTCAGCATTCATGGGCAGATGTACATTCATGCCATGTATATTATTTAAGTCCTTAATGATACAAATAATTTCTTTTTTTAAAAAAGGTACAAAACTTACAGAAAACAAATTTATCAGGTAGAAGACAGCTAATTTACCTATACGTTTAAAGATAAAGAAAATCTTTTCCTGAGAAGAATAATCGATTTGCCCTTCTTCGTTTGATTCCAAAGATTATAGAAGAAAATCAGTTTAGCCTCTTTTCTATCCACCTTCCCCTAATTCTCCCTGAATTCCCATATCTACCCATTCTACTTCCTAAATGCCTATTAAAATAGTTAATCCTAGGCCAGGTGCAGTGGCTCATGCCTGTAATCCCAGCACTTCAGGAGGCTTAGACAAGAGGATCGCTTGAGCCCAGGAGTTCAAGACCAGCCTGGGCAACACAGTGAGACCCATCTCTACAAAAAAATTAAATATTAGCTGGGTGTGGTGGCATGCACCTGTCGTCTCAGCTACTCAGGAGCCTGAGGCAGAATTATCACTTGGGCTGGGGGGTTGAGGCTGCCGTGAGCCATGATTGTGCCACTGTACTTCAGCCTGGGCAACATAGTGAGACCCAGTCTCAAAATATAATAATAATAATAATAATAATAATAATAATAATAATAATCCCTTCCTCTAGATTTCCACTATACAAAGTAGTCAGCAAATGCTTAATGAATGAAGTACTACAACTGCCTCCTACCCAGAATCCTTGCCTCCATGTTCATAAAACAAGCTAATGGGACAGAAGGGACTTTGAATTGGGTCAGACAGGAGAACAAAAGGAACCAGCATATAATGAAAAGTGACCAAGTGCCAGGCATTTTGTAGCAGCTTTTAAAAGTGTAATCCCATTTAATCATTTAGATAATCACAACTCCTCTATGATGCTACACTTGAGAAAACTGAAGTTCAAAGAATGAAGCAATGTGATGTACGACAGTTATTAAATGGTAGACATGTACAGACAAGTCTGATTCCAAAACCCATCTCTACAAAAAAATTAAATATTAGCTGTGTGTGGTGGCATGCACCTGTCGTCTCAGCTACTCAGGAGCCTGAGGCAGTGAGCTATGATCGTGGCATTGCAGTCAGGGCAACAGAGCAATATTCTGACTCTAAAAAAAATTAAAAACTAAATTTAAAAAGTCACTAACCATCAGGCATTGGAAAACATTTAATGGAGCAGAATAATGGGTTGATAGCCTTCCTAATGCTATAGTAGACCAAGGAGTACTTCACATTTTTTTCTTCATGCATGCTGGTACTGAGGTGGGTGCAAAGATCCAATAGACAGATCTTACCTCAAGGAGTTTATGGTCCTGGAGGAACTAATCACCTATGTGAATGCGTGATTAATAGAAAATAGCATGATAATGTGTCATAAAAGAAGTAAAGTGCTATAAAAATCAAATATGTTATGAAGATAAATCTTCTAGAGAGGTCTAGGTATAAGTATAGGTAAAATGCTATTGAAATATGTAGGAAGAAGAGATTACTTCTGATTTTGGACCACAAAATGAAGTGTCATTTAAAACGGAGTCTGAAAGAGAGAAGTTATGTCCTAAAAAGATTTAAATGGAAGTTATTATTTTTAAATATCTTGTTATTTCTTATTACTAAGGAAGTGTGGTATTATGGAAAGAATGTGGGCTATATTCAATTCACTTCTGACACTAACTAGAGCTCGTGCAGATCTCTCATGGATTAAGAGCTCAGTCACACCAGACTGTGCCCTACTTCATATACCAATTGCAAGCAGTAGGTTCCCAGGTCACCACAACTTCTGACCAGTTTGGCCACAAGTGGGAGGTTACCACAACCCCCTTCTCAGGTTCAGTAATGTGCTAGAGCAGCTCATAGAACTCCTGGGCTCAAGTGATCTTCCCACCTCAGCCTCCTGGGTGACTAGGACTACAGGTGTGTGTCACCAGACAAGGTCTTGCAATGTTGCCCAGGCTGGTATCAAACTCCTGGGCTCAAGCAATCCTCCCACCTTGGCTTCCTAAAGCCCTGGGATTGCAGATGTGAGCCACTATGCCGGGCCCTTGGTTGATGATTTTCTAATTCCACTACTAGGTGACACTCATCTGGCATAACAACCCATACCCCGTTGGTCAACCAAAAGCAGACAATGTACCTTTGACAAGATATCTGGCAAGAGCAAATATTCAATACTGGTGGAATCTTGGACAAAAATCTAACTTTCCTGGGAAAGAGGTAGGGGTTAGGGTGGGTGTCCCATGTTAAGTGGTCATTTGGGCAAAAACTACAAACCTAAAACCAAGTTTCTAAAACGAATTTTAGAGTATGGCAAATGACTGATTTAGTCAAAAATTTATCTTCTACTCTGAAAAAAATACATGTTTGTTTAAAAGACAAACCTTGCCACTTTTATATTGGAGCACAATCTTAAACTACCACCGGGTGATCTCTCAAGGCTGTCACAAATAGAATTATCAGAAGCTGTGAGTGGCTGTGGAGCACATCAAATGTTCCTACATGATACTTTAAGCAACACTTGTTAAATAGTGAGAAGCCAGATTGCCCAAATAACAAGTCATTTTCAAAGGGCAAAATCTTCGAGGTTCTCACTCTAATAATTAGAGTGAAATGGCTATAAAGTTTTTACTGCTATGATTCTTTAACTTATAAAATGGATACTGTAGAAAGCTTAGAGAATGATTACTTGGCAGTTTTTCATACATGAAATTAAAGTATCATGTAGATAGAAATAAAAATAAAACAGATTATTTTGAGTTTATAAATAATTATACATATTGGCAATGAACTGAAACTTAAATACAAAAGGTGGGCAGGTCATATTTTGGAAAACAGGTAAATCCCCCCTCTTTTAAGTGACCACAAGACACTTCAGAGTTGCCCTTGGCTTGCTTTCTCTGGGCTCATACTAAGAGCAACACACACAGAGTAGGCTTTTTAAAGATCCCAGGCTTTGGAAGCAGAGAAACCTGGGAAAGAATCCCCAGCTTGTCCATTTATAAAGGATATTACTTCAATCCTCAATTATCCTAATCTATAGGGACAGTAATATTAATGCATTAAATTGCTATGGAGATTATATTAAATTAAATTAAAACATTAAGCAGAGTACCTGTCACATCCTTTGTTCTCAATAAATATTAGCTGCTATTGGTGAGGGAAAAAATGGAAAATATTTGGTGTCCTAGTTTAAACACTGACTATGCTACTGCAAAAGACTTCTATTTCAGTAGATACTAACAGAACCTTTACCTAAAGGTTTAAGGAGGATAAAAGACTCACTAAACTATTCAATTACATTTCTAGTCATCTTCTTAAAATGTCCCCCTTCTTCCAACTCCTATCCACAACTCTAACTATTCATACAAACTGGCTCAAATGTCACTTCCTCTGTGGAATCTTCCCAAGCACCCAAGGCAGAAGACGTTGCTTCCTCAAAAGAACGCCCGGCAGCAGTTTGTACAGTGCTGTACCTTTCTTGTTGCAATGGAATTTATTTTTGTATTTATCACTTCTAAACTAGGAATGCTGTTAAGGGCAGGGACTTGGTTGCGTACTCATCGTAGCATGCCTACTCAGTATCTGATAAAACATCTACTCATAGGAGGTGCTCAATAACCTTCACTTGAATGAAAGAGCAAATAAGCGGTAGCTGTTTGGAAAGATGAATGTATAAATATGCTTCAAGGGATTTTAACTTATCAGGATTAAATAACTTCAAAAACTTGCCAAATCATTGCAAGTTTACACGGCTGTGCTATTTTGTTCTTCTGGATAGCTTTTCTTCTTCACTGCAACAACAACAACAAAGACTGAAAAAGAGTTTAAATGATGCCCTATATAGAGTATAGTGGATACATTAAAAGATAATAAAAGTAATAAATTTTATTTTCTTTCAAAAGTTGCCTCAGTATAGTGGGACTGGGCTGTCCAATACTTTAAGAGAATAAGAAAGAGAGTCAGAATAAGAGATAGGAAAATACCTTGCTATTTTTTGTGTGAGATTTTTTAATTTGAGGTTATAATTTAAATATAGTGAAATGCAGATATCTTAAGTCTATAGTTTGATCAGTTTGGGTAAGTGACTATACCTATATAACCCACACCCCTACCAGAAGATAGAACATTTCTATCAACCTGTAGAATTCCCTCTTGCTTCTTCTCAGTCAACATTCCCCTCCCTCCACAACCAGAAGCAACTACTGATCCGATTTTTGTTACCACAGATTAATTTTAACTATTCTATAACTTTATATCAATGGAATCATACAGTATAAAGTATTTTGTGTCTGGCTTCTTTCATGTCCTTTAATGCTTCTGAGATTTATCCTTGCCATTACATGTATCAGCAATTTGTTCTTTTTTATTGCCGAGCAGTGTTCTACTGTATGGATATACCAGATTGCTTGTCTAGGCTCTTGCTGATGGGCACCTGGATGTGATATTGTGATACAATAAGAAATGTGTATTTGATCCCTGACCCTGGTTCCTCGCAGAGAGTTCTCAAAACTCTTGTAATTTCCTGAGCAAGAGGGATGCTAGGTGCATCTTTTGTTCTAATATTTGGTCTGTGGCCCCAGTTTCTAACAGAGTTGCTAATCCCTTGGAACTTCCTGGGCATTGATAAGAATGTCTTATGTTCTAATGAGGTGACTCTTGGTGGGCTCCTAGATGGGGGCTGGTCACCAGAAAGACCAAGCCATAATTAGAAGCCTGGAACTTTCAGCCACACTATGCCAGCCTCCAGGAAAAGGAGGGGGCTGAAAAATGAGTTAATAAATGCTCAGCCTATATGATGAAGCCTCCATAAAAATCCCTAAACTACAGAGTTTAGAAAGCATCTGGGATGCTGAAGACATGGAGATGACAGGAGGGTGGAACACCCAGAGAGGGCATGGAAGGTCCATGCTGCTTCCTACATATCTTACCCAGAGTACTTCTTTGGCTATTCACCTGTATCCCTTAAAACATCCTTTATAATAAACTGATAAATATAAGTGTTTCCCTGAGTTCTATGAGCGCTCCAGCACATTACTGAACCTGAGAAGGGGGTTGTGGTAACCTCCCACTTGTGGCCAAACCGGTCAGAAGTTGTGGTGACCTGGGAACCTACTGCTTGCAATTGGTATATGAAGTAGGGCACAGTCTTGTGAGACTGAGCTCTTAATCCATGAGAGATCTGCACGAGCTCTAGTTAGTGTCAGAAGTGAATTGAATATAGGCTATCCGGCTAGCATCAGAGAATTGGTCAGTGTGAGAAAAATCCACACATCTGGTCGCTATACTCTCTGTGTTGAGAGTACAGTAGGAGAAAATTGGTTTTTTCCTACCATACACACTGGGCTTTTACAGTTTTTGGCTATTCTCAATCAAGTGGCCATGAACATTCTTACATATGACTTTTGTAGGTATATATTTTCATTTATCTGGGATAAATACATAGAAGTGGAATTGCTGCCAAACATTTTCCAGAGTAGTTGTACTATTTTATACCCCCACGAGCAATCACTGACAGTTCCACATTCCTCCCAACATTTGTTATGATCAATATTGCTAATTTTAGCCATTCTGGTGGGTAGCCAGTGGTATCTCACTTTGCATTTCCCTGATGACTAATGATCATGAGCACTTTTTCATGTGCTTTTTGACCAGTGATATTCCTTATTTTATGAAATGTCTGTTCAAATCTTTTGCCCATTTAAAAATGTTGATTGCCTTCTTTTAATTATTCCATAATTGAATAATTCTTTGTATATTCTGGACACAAGCCTTTTGTCAAATGTAATTGTAACAAAGGCTTATCTACTTGATGTTATCTTCTGATGAGCAGGTGTTTTTATTTTTGATGAAGTACAATTTATCAACTTTTTAATGGTAGTGCCCTCTGTGTCCTAAGATAAATTGCAAAGATATTTTTATGTTGTCCTTTAGAAATTGTAATTTTTTAGCTTTTAAGTTTAGGTCCTGATTCATCTCAAGTTAATTTTTGTCTGTGGTGTAAGGTAGGAATCAAAGTTCTTTTTTATTCTGCATGTGGAAAACCACCTTTCTGAACACCATATGTTGAAGACACTTTCTTTTTCCCAATAAATCACTTCAGCATCCTCATCAAATTTGACCACATATGTGTAGTTCTATATTTGGAACTGGATCTGACTGGATCAGATCCAACTGGACCCCACTGATCTATATGTCTGTCCTTTTGCCAATAACACAGTCTTGATTACAACAGCTTTAGAGTAACTTTCAAAGGTAAGTGAGTCCTACTTTGTTCATTTTCAAGATTATTTTGGCTATTCTACGTCCTTGCATTTCCATATAAATTTTAGAATTGGCTTGCTGATTTCTTTTAAAAAGAGAATGCTGAAATTTTTAACAATCAGTAGTTTATGTCTTCACAACTGCTATCTGTCCACAAGTAACCAATAACCAGAAAAACAAATAGCATTTCAAAGAAAAGAAAACTTTCAAGAAAGAAGAAAGACTTTCAAGTCATCATTAATTTCACTGGTGAAAACAAGGACATTAAAATTTCCACCAAACATTTTATAAACAACTTCTGTTTGTTTCTTTAGTCACAAACATGAACTATAATCTTTTTTGTGAAAACTTTTAGGTAGGAATTGAATTTAATTAGATACAAGATTTCAGTTATGTTCATCACAAAATAGGAAAAGAACATTTTGGTAAGCTATTCTGTTAAAATAATGGAAAGCTAATCTCTCTAAAAGAGAAAAGCTAAAAGTATTAACTTCCCTCTTCTTTCCAATTCATTCACTGCCTTTGTATACATGTCTAAAATTTGGACCCTTCCAAGCCTACTGGAAACAAGAAAAAAATAAAAATAAATGAAACTTGGATCTTACTAAGCTTTCAAACTATCCATGTATTTGCCAAATTGTCATCTCTGGTTTTTAAATTTACAAATTCAAGAAATATTGTACAGAGACTGTATTTACTTGGAGATATTTTTTAGCAAATACTTTCTAGGTCTTCATATCCACGACTCAAAGGAAAACCTCTAAGCATTGGGTATGAAAAGAGGTAGGAAGGCCGGGCACGGTGGCTCACGCCAGTACTTTGGGAAGCCGAGGCGGGTGGATCACTTGAGGTCAGGAGTTCGAGACCAGCCAGGCCAACATGGTGAAACCCCATCTCTACTAATAATACAAAAATTAGCTGGGTGTGGTGGTGCATGCCTGTAATCCCAGCTACTCAGGAGGCTAAGGCAGGAGAGTCACTTGAACCCGGGAGGCAGAGGTTGCAGTGAGCCAAGATTGCACCATTGCACTCCAGCCTGGGTGACAAAAGCGAAACTCCATCTCAAAAAACAAAAAAAAAAAGAGGTAGGAAGAAGTAAATAGAAAACATATGTTTCTGTCTAGGCTCTTCCCTCCCACTCCATTCATTCAGTGTGGGGAAAGGCCAGAAAGTCAAGACAGGTCTGAAGGTGGGCACGTGGCAGTTTGCAACCTTCCAAGTTAGTCCAGACATCCCAGCTGTGGCACTGGCAATACACCAATATGCATTTCTATCAAAGACAGCAGTAAGTTACTTTCAGAGGCATTATGTTAAATGATGAACTCAAGAAAAACTGTAAAGCAGGCACACCTTTATCCAGTTCCAACCCTGTTCTCAGAGCCTCTTTCACAACTTTGTCTTCTATCCCGAGCCCACCCAGGGTCTAGTGACCTTATTATATTTTTTAAAGTATTTATGCCCACATCTATTCAAACACTATGGTATAAACATCTCTTTGCTGACATGGACAGTGCATTGCATGGTCTTCCTTAGAATAAAGTCTTTCTTACAAGGAAAAAAACACAAGACTAAATATTACTCCTATTTTCTTTTTTTTTTTTTTTGAGACAGAGTCTTACTCTGTCACCCAAGCTGGAGTGCAGTGGTGTGATCTTGGTTCACTGAGACCTCCACCTCCCAGGTTCAAGCCATTCTCCTGCCTCAGCCTCCTGAGTAGCTGGGATTACAAGTGCCCTCCACCACGCCCAGCTAATTTTTGTATTTTTAGTAGAGACCATGTTGCATGTTGGCCAGGCTGGTCTCGAACTCTTAACCTCAGGTGATCCACCCACCTCAGCCTCCCAAAGTGCTGAGATTACAGGTGTGAGCCATCACGCCTGGCCTACTACTCCTATTTTCAAAGCAACAAAAACTTCATTATGCAAGGTCGGCTTGAAAAATAAAGTGAGAATGGTTAAAAAGTATCCTTTAGAGAGAGATTTGTATTCAAAAAGGAACATCTTCTTGACCTAAATGAGGCAAAAGAGCCATGTATATGTGCACAGAAATCAGCATAAGGATATGGCATTTAAAAATTTTTAATTTTTAAATTTATTACACATGTAGGTTTGTTATACTGTTATATTGTGTGAAGCTGTTAGGGCTTTTAATGATCCCGTCACCCAAGTAGTGAACAAAGTACCCAATAGGTAGTTTTTCAACCCTTCTTCTTTTCCCTCTCTCCTGGCTCTAGGTCCTCAGTGTCTATTATTCCCATATTTATGTCCATGCGTACCCAATGTTTAGCTCCCACTTATAAGTGAGAACATGCAGTATTTGATTTTCTGTTCCTGTGTTAATTCACTTAGGTTAATGACCTCCAGCTGCATCCATGCTGCTGCAAAGGACATGATTTTGTTCTTTTTATGGCTGTGTAGTATTCCTTGTTGTATATGTGCCATATTTTCTTTATCTAATTCACCTTTGATGGGTACCTGGGTTGATTTCATATCTTTGCTATTGTGAGGAGTGCTGTGATAAACATAAAAGTGCAGGTGTCTTTTTGGTAGAACAATTTATTTTCCTTTGGGTATATACGTAGTAATGGGATTCCTGGGTGGAATGGTAATTCTATTTTAGTTTGAGAAATCTCCAAACTGGGGATTTCCTCAGGGGCTGAACTGATTTGCATTCTCGCCAGTAGTGTCTAAGGATTCCCTTTTCTCCAAGATCTCGCCATCATCCATTAATTTTTTGCTTTTTAATAACAGCCAGATACAACATTTCTTCAGGAGGACATTTTAACCTTCTTTTTAGTGGCAGGTGTTTCTTACCTTCAAGAACTTGGAACTCTAATTTACATATTAAAAGAAACAAAGTGAGAGTCTGCTAAACTACAAAGTGACCTCATTATTACTCACCACTGCCCAGAATTTAGGATACCAAAATCATTAGAAGTAGGTCCTATGAAGATTAGTTATCATAAGTACTAACAGAATTCAAGCTCAGCATCAGGGTCACACATATAAGTGAACCTGCCAGGAGGAAAAGGGCAGAAAACCATCTTATGGCCTTTTCTTAGTGCACATTCTTGCGATAATTTTTTGACCTATTGATTATGTTGTCTTGAGTCACTACTTTAAAGTCTAATGTATAATTTTCATAACCAGAGTGATGTTATAGGCATTTAATATATGGTGCCCCCTTTTAAATTCTTATGTAACTAAATTACTCAATTACTATCTATTAAACTAAATTTGTAATCAGTCACCTATAGATCCAAATACTTCCCTTTAACTCTTAACTTCAAACACAGTTTAACTCTTAGAGATCATTGGAACATCACACATATTCTAACCAAACAACACACCAAAGGAGATGTGGAGGCCCCAAGGAGTCCAGGAGGCAGTAAATACTAATGGTTGAAGTCAGATACTCAAGTTTAAGTATTGTCTCTACTACATGCTAGCTGTGTGACCTTGGACAGTTTACTTAACTTCTTTGCAACAATTCTCTTTTATGTAAAAAAGGAGTTATATCTATAACATAGGGTTGACTTGGGGATTAAGTTAGCTCATTTTCATAAAGTACTTGGTATAGCGTTCTGCACACCGTGATAAAATGCTCTCCTTGACCAAACTTTAGTCAGGCTCTTCTGAATCCTCATCTCAACTAGGCCTAGAGCTTTGGATTTCTGTGTTCCTCTTTACATCACCCAGTTGTAACAGGAATCTCACAAAGTCAGTTGAGAAAGAACTCCCCAGATATTGAGATCACCCTCAATATCTGATCAAATTCCTCACTGCCACCCTTGGTATCTTATCACCCTGGCCAACCTGCAGCAAGGATCCTGTTAGTTCTGTTTAACCAGAATCCCTTTACCCGTGACGTTTCTTTCCTCTTAGTAATTTTTCATCCACTGACCCCCATCCCTGCTCTCTTGTCCATGCTATTTGGAATTAGGAATCCCCACTTGTGCATGCTCTCTATATGGAATTAAGCCCAGTTCTATACTGGAATCCCTTCTTCTATTGCAGCTTTTCCTGAATAAAATCTGTTTTTACCATTTTAACTATTATCTCTTATTTTTCTTTAACAGTTTTTGGTCCATGATTCAGATCTGGATCTGAACCACCGTTAGACTCTTGGACACAATAACCAATCTCTAAGCACACACCAAGACTTTGTCTTCAGTCTGCTTGCTTTTTGGGTATCTGGTGGTGAGTGACTCCAATATCCAGTGCTCCAGATAAACGTCCATCGAATCACAGTGAGGACAGATTTTGATTAAGATTCTGATTACATTGTCTGAAGCTGGATTAGAGGCCCAGACTTCTTTGTTTGAAAGGCATCTACTCAGCTAGAAGTCTTTCTTTCTGGGGCTCACTGCGTCAAGAAGACATTTACTCCCTGACTCCTGAGCCTGGCTCTTGGCTGGAAAATTCTTCCTGGATCTTTGTCTCCTGGGATGAAGACTTCTCCTGGCTCTTTGTTTCCAGTGGGGATCCACTCCCCAATGCCTGGGCTGGAATTTTTTCCCTGCTCTTTATGAGGCCTCTCTCTTCTATCTGTTTAATCCTGCTTCTCCCATGGGAACTTCTCAATTGAAACCTCACCTTAGCAAACTCCTGCTTTGCCACTATAGTTCTAATACTGTCTGCTTGCTTTCTCACTGGCAAAGCTTTACCAAAAACTCTCTTCAGCTATGGTGGGGGCTCCTGGTATATCCCTAAATTAGTCCATCTAAAAACAGCCCTAGGGCAAAAAGCAACAAAGCTTTTGGATGCACAGCGGTCTGCTTATTTCACTTGGTATTAAGAAGCCAAAAAACAGCTAAATAATTCAAATCTCAAACTACTGAGGCTCTTTCACACTGTCTGTAGAAAAATTTTTCTGACTCAGTAAAGTTCCTAGAGCTCTCAACAGCACCTCCATATTCCCCTCCCAGCTTTCCTTTATAGCCTCCTCTCCCAAACTCTCTTCCACCATCTGCCCCCTCCTCCAGTCCCTCACCTCCCTGTAACCAAAAGGTTCACTGGCCTCCATCTCCTTCAGATGAAGCCCAGGATCAGCCAGTACCTGTTCCCAAGTGAGGCTAATAGAAGAGAGAACATTTAAACCTTGGTCTAGGCCTGAATTGCATCCTATCACCAAATACTTTCCTGACCACAGAAAGGAAAGGGAAAGGTTTGTTGAACAATTTAGAATCATTCTAGGTGCATACTCTCTGGGATTCCCTGATTTAAATCAACTTATCTGTCTGTTGGTTGGGCCTGGAAATGCCTCCCTTTGCTTTGAAAAAGCTAAATGGACCACTATTTCTGATGAACCTCAGTTCCTTCCTTGGGTGCACTCAAGGGTCTCAGGCTACCCCTGATACCCCGAGGGAAGTAAGAAATTACTAGAAGCCATCCATAAAATCTCTCCCATTAAAATTGATTGGTCACATATCTAACATTGTAAATAACAAACTGATGAAACTGTGGCTATCACCATCAATTAAAGACAACATGGAAAGAGAATTCAGGGGTGGAACTGACTTTCCAAACAGCCTCTGCTCAGGCCATGCAATCTTTATAAATAGTTTCAGGCCAGACCTCTATGACACATTACAGAAAAATAATATTAATTAACAAAATGTATACATGTCTTGGCTGCAGACATTAACCCAATAATATGAAAATAGTATTTCAAAAACATTGGAAAATACACAATGTAAGCTTGTGGCACTGCAGTTAAAACAACTGGAAAAACCTGAAATTTTTAACTCACAGCAAGCTCCGCAATGGAAGGCTCCCATTGATCTCAACAATGTGCTGATATCATGAGGAAAAAAGACACTGGGCCTGGAATTGCCCAGTGCTCAAGAGGAGGGAAAAACCCAAGTCCCCCTCCTCACCAGAGAATTGTCTATTTTCCTCCAGAGAAGCAAATGTCCCAATGCCCTCAACTACTACTAAACTTGCATGAAGAAATAATGCTACAAGTTAAAGGGCCTCCACGTCTCTCATCGATACCAGGACAACACATTCTACCCTCAACATGACCTCACTTCCTGCCCCCTTCCCCACAGTCACCAAACTTTACCAGTGGTGGGTTTTGATGCTTTGCCCTCAGCTCATCCTCATATCTCTATGGGACCTCGTAAAGGTCAACATAATTTTCTACTCAGCTCCACTACCCCAGTAAACTTGTGTGGAAAGTATCTTCTCATGAATGGAGGTACAAAAATTCCTGCTGGACTGCTTCTACCCACCCCTGAGTCTTCCTCTTCATGTCTATGTCCCCTAATGGTTTTGTCTGACTTCCCCCAAGCAGGGAGTTCCTTTGCCCACTTCAACCTATCTACTTAAATACAGATTTAAGCAAACTATTAAAATTATCTAAGGTATATGCGATACAGAACCCATATAAGGTAGAAACAGATCCTTCCAAGCCTCTCCCCAGGATTCCCCAATATCGTTTAAAACCACAAGGACTAGCGGTTGATCACCCTGATAATGAGAGGCTTATTAGACATGAGTCCCCACTTCTAATCCGTGCATTACTCCCATTTGGCTATTAAAAAGTCAAGTGGGAAAGGATATCAGTTCCTTCCTAGGATCTATCAATTACACTGTCAAATCAAGATTTCCCTTGGTGCCTAATCCTAACACTATCCTGTCTTTTATCTCTTCCAACATGCAATATTTCATGGTGATTCATTTGTGTTCTGCCTTTTTTTTTTTTTTCTTTTGAGACAGAGTCTCACTCTGTTGCCCAGGCTGGAGTACAGTGGCTTGATCTCAGCTCACTGAAAGCTCTGCCTCCCGGGTTCATGCCATTCTCCTACCTCAGCCTCCCAAGTAGCTGTGACTACAGGCATCCGCCACCACGCCCAGCTAATTTTTTGTATTTTTAGTAGAGATGGGGTTTCACCATGTTAGCCAAGATGGTCTCAATCTCCTGACCTTGTGATCAGCCTGCCTCAGCCTCCCAAAGTGCTGAAATTACAGGCATGAGCCACCGCTCTGGGCTGTGTTCTGCCTTTTATAATATTCCCCTTCATAAAGAATCTCACTACTTTGCCTTCACCTGGGAAAATAAACAATACACCTGGACTGTTATGCCCCAACGATTTACTAAGGCCCTACATATTTCTCATGAACCTATTTGATGGAGTTAAAATTCCCAGAAGACTCCACTGTAATCCAATATGTAAATGACCTCTTTCTATGCACTTTCAGTTATGACAACTCCCTTTAGGACACTGAATACTTTAAGGCAATGGCAAGAAAAGACCACAAAGTTTCTAGACGAAAAGTTTAATTATTCTGTGTGTTCAATATCTGGGTCATGGTATTTCAGCTGCAGGTAAAATTATCTTCACAGGTGGAGCTTCTACTATTCATCATTTTCCTCTTCCTGAAACAAAATAACAGAGGTTTTTGGATCTTGTGGGCTATTGTAGGATGTGGATACCTAATTTCTCATAGACTGATGATTGCCTTTAAGGTTCACAGCCTTCACTATGACTTTTCTTCATCTGAGATTAGTCTTCCCTTATATTTTTCTGTTCCTAAATTTAGGAGCTCCTTGTTCTCCCCCAGCTCTGCCTTTTCCTTATCTGTTAGCAAGACTATTCATCCACAGAGCCTTTGGCAAGCCTGGGCTGGACTAGTCACCACTTCCCATAATGCCACAGACTGAGGGTACTGTGCTTCCTTTCCTGTGGGCACACCTGGCATTTCCACGATTCCTGTGAGAAATCAGAATTCCTATTTTGCTATAACTTCCCTCTCTTTTCTTCCACCATTTTAAACCAGACAAATACCCATTGTGAGAAAAACCTCTGAATATACTCCAGTCTATCCTTGCAAGGGTCATGTCCACTCCCATCATAATTTTACCATCATCAATTCTTTTCTGGGAACAAGCATTTGTCATTACACTTCTCCAGCCGTCATTAAATGTAACATAATGCCTCCAAGCCACTACAGGTTCCTGGACATCTCTCATACGAATGGAAATGTCCCCACTTCCCCTCTCAGCCTAATTTCTCTCACCCAACCCAACCACACACAGACCACCTCCAAAAAATCCTTTCTCAATCATCGAAATGTTTATTCTTTGGTCACCTTCAGCCATCAGATAATTATCTTATGACTCCAGGCTAGCACTCAATGATTCTTACTCTGTCTGTGGAACTCAAACCTATTAGCTGTTACCAGCCAACTGGAATGGATCTCACTACCTCTCTAATCTTACTAATCCCTTCATCTACTTGATTCCCCACAATTTCTTTCATTTTTTAAAGTTATCTCTAAAACAAGTTATCCCTCCAGTTGACCTCACTCTCACTATGAGAGCAAAAGAGGTATCCAGAACATCATAGGTTCTGTTGTAGGTGATCTTGGTTACTCAGGTGGTGACTTAGATAGAAAGAACAGCTACAAGAACTGGGCATAAGTTCTACCCATGATCTCAAGACATTAAGAAGTCTCAACAGATGGTTTAGCACGTCTTTACTGAAAAGGAACTGAACACAAGATGGACTTAGATTACTGAGAGAAGAGAATAATGCTTTATTTCCTTGAACAAAAGGAGCAACTGACAAGATGCCCTCCTTGGCCAAACTTAAGTCAGGCTCCTCGGAATCCTCTTCTCAACCAGGCCTTGACCTTTGGTTTCAATTTTGCATAGCACAGTTGTAGTAAGAATCTTGCAGTCAGTTTAGAGAGAACCCCCTACCCTCACTATCTGTTCACCTTCAATATTTGATCACCCTCGGTATCTAATCAAATTCTGCATCCCTGCACTCTCCAACACCCGCCTTGGTATCTCATCACTCAGCCTGTCTTGAGCAAGAATCATTTTAGGTTGGCTTAACCACAATCTCCCCACTCCTTAAGTTTCTTTCATCTCCGTAATTTTTCATCCATTAATGCCATCTTGCTCTTTGGCTATAAATCCCCACTGGTCTATGCTGTATTCAGAATTGAACCTTGTTCTATACTAAGGTCTCTCTTCCCCTATTACAGTAGTTCCTGAATAAAATCTGTTTTTACCACTTTAACTACTGTAATGTACAGCTCCACTTTTCTTTAAAAAATAGTAAGCACTCAATACTTTAGAGTTACTAACATTACCAAGGTTGTCAGTTTTACTATTAACTAGGAAAAGCTATCATGAGTAGGTGAGACCCGGTGTGTTGTTTAATATTACTTAAATTACTTATGTTTTGCCTCCAGCTTCTTCATTAGAAAAACCTGCATCTAGTTACTCTCTCTAACTCCTCATAGGAGCTTAAAAAAATCAGTTAAGCAGTTTGAAGTCTGTAACACAGCTGGAAAACATTGCTTTTGTTACTCTAATTCAGCAAATTACCTCCTATGGTGTATTAAATATTCCTTTTTCTGCTCTGTAAGAGTTAATTCATTTCTCATCGGTGAGAACTTTTCACAGGCTTGTGAAGCAGCAAAGTGTTACAGAGATAACACAGATTTTGGTTCTAACTCTGCCACCTACTAGCTGAATTATGTTAGGCAATTATAAGTTACCTCAGTCTCTTTGTAGACTAAACTGTAAGTATGTATTATATGCTACAATTATGTGTATAAAATTTGTAGAAACTAGTTTGTGCCATTTTTAAAAGGTGAAATTTATAAAATAGTTCATTTTATAATCAAATATATCTCTGAAGACTCCTGGGAGTTCCCCTGAAAAGGTGTTAAAAATTGTAAAAATTTCACCTATTATGAAGGTTCCATCCAAAAAAGCAGGACATATGTTCTTCATCTTCATTTCTTAATCTCTTCCCCTGAAGTCATGGAGAACATTTTCAGTTCTGGACTCCATAGTATACAGAATTTCTTTCTCAAATTTCCCGTGGGGCAAGGTCAAGACACAGTTTTAAAATTTTCATTGACCACATTGTTTTCAGAAAATGGAAAGGAAATAGTGAAATGCCAAAAATCCACAGAATAAGTATTAAATAGAATAACCTTATGTAAACTGATGCGGCCACTCATTAAGCAGACCACTTTCAGTGATGTCAATAGATCAAAAGAAAGGTCAGCTGTGTATCAAAGGCTCTGCCATAATCATCAGAGGAAAATGGAGAGCTATCTGTTCAGGAATACTGGAGGTAGGCTGGCTAGTGGGTTTGTTTCATCTTTTTCACTATACCCAGATAGACTCAGAAAACAACACTTGACGGCTATTTGTCACCTGGGGCTCTGTGATTTGCATCATTCTAACTATATCTATTCAGTCAGATATTTAATAAATAAAATTTCTAAATTCCTAATGGGGAATTGAGTACAAATGCACTACTGTTATTAGCAAAAAGAAAAACAAAAACAAAAACAAAAACAAACCAGGGTAACACTTAGTGATGTTTCAACAACAGTAGCTTACATTTCTATAGATCTTTAGTGGTTAACAAGATGATTATTCCTGGACTTTTCACTAACTGTAAGGTATGCAAATTAGATATTTGTAGTTTATAAATGAGGAAACTAAGGTTTCCAGAAGTCAAGTGGATAGTTATTTCAGTTACTTAATGGGAAACCTGAAATTAAAATCCTAGTCTTCTACATTCTAAAAAATATTATAAAATTATAATATTGGTGGGACTGTAAACTAGTTCAACCATTGTAGAAGTCAGTGTGGCGATTCCTCAGGGATCTAGAACTAGAAATACCATTTGACCCAGCCATCCCAATACTGGGTATATACCCAAAGGACTATAAATCCTGCTGCTATAAAGACACATGCACACGTATGTTTATTGCGGCATTATTCACAATAGCAAAGACTTGGAACCAACCCAAATGTCCAACAATGATAGACTGGATTAAGAAAATGTGGCACATATACACCATGGAATACTATGCAGCCATAAGAAATGATGAGTTTGGCCGGGCGCGGTGGCTCACGCCTGTAATCCCAGCACTTTGGGAGGCTGAGGCGGGTGGATCACGAGGTCAGGAGATCGAGACCATCCTGGCTAACACGGTGAAACCCCGTCTCTACTAAAAATACAAAAAATTAGCCGGGCGAGGTGGCGGGCGCCTGTAGTCCCAGCTACTCGGGAGGCTGAGGCAGGAGAATGGCGTGAACCCCAGGGGGCGGAGCCTGCAGTGAGCCGAGATTGCGCCACTGCACTCCAGCCTGGGCGACAGCGAGACTCCGTCTCAAAAAAAAAAAAAAAGAAAAGAAAGAAATGATGAGTTCATGTCGTTTATGGGGACGTGGATGAAACTGGAAACCATCATTCTCAGTAAACTATCGCAAGAACAAAAAACAAACCGCATATTCTCACTGATAGATGGGAATTGAACAATGAGAACACATGGACACAGGAAGGGGAACATCATACTCTGGGGACTGTTGTGGGCTGGGGGGAGGGGGGAGGGATAGCATTGGGAGATATACCTAATGCTAGATGACGAGTTAGTGGGTGCAGTGCACCAGCATGTCACATGTATACATATGTAACAAACCTGCACACTGTGCACATGTACCCTAAAACTTAAAGTATAATAATAATAATAATAATAATAAAAAGAAAATGTGGCACATATACACCATGGAATACTATGCAGCCATAAAAAATGATGAGTTCATGTCCTTTGTAGGGACATGGATGAAATTGGAAATCATCATTCTCAGTAAACCATTGCAAGGACAAAAAACCAAACACCACATGTTATCACTCATAGGTGGGAATTGAACAATGAGAACACATGGACACAGGAAGGGGAACATCACACTCTGGGGACTGTTGTGGGGTGGGGGGAGGGGGGAGGGATAGCATTAGGAGATATACCTAATGCTAAATGATGAGTTAATGGGTGCAGCACACCAGCATGGCACATGTATACATATGTAACTAACCTCCACATTGTGCACATGTACCCTAAAACTTAAAGTATAATAATAATAATAATAAAGAAAATATTATAAAATTATAAATGGAGAAAAGAAATAAACACATATAACCAACTATCAGTTATCCATTCAACTACAGGCTGCTTCCCCACTGTCACTCAGTTGCTTCAAGGGTCATCTGAAAGTCGCACTGAACCACGGTTAAACAAAATGTTTCTGATTTCAACGAAAACCAGAGAAAAGTTATCTACTCTCTAAAGAAATAGTAACTCTAACAAGTCACTCATATTACTTATCCAGTTTCTAATTTAACAGAATTTTAGAATAATAAAATATGGCAAACTTGAAGTTAAAAGTCTGAACTAAAAAATATTAAATAGTGTTTCAGTATGCTTTCAAATGGCCAGTTTTCTTCACATTCCAACTTCCTATAATTATCAAGTTGAGGACACGACAAGGAACTGAAGTACAAAATCAGAGAAAAGGAAGTATACAAATGGAGAGGAAAGGATACAGAACATGCCATTGCTTATTAAACTAGCAACTTGATCTGGAGCCTTAGCAAATTTAGTTTTCTTACCAGTTAGAATTAGGATTTAAAAGCTGGAACAGGCTTCAGACCTTACCTAGTGCAGCCATTATTTGATAGTAAAACAAGGAACAGAGGGTCTAACCCTAAGTTGCAGTTTCTAAGTGAGTTAGAAAAAAAAAACTTTCTAACAGGCATGGTGGCTCCCGCCTCTAATCCCAGCACTTTGGGAGGCTGAGGCAGGAGAACTGCTTGAGTCCAGGAGTTTGAGACCAGCCTGGGCAACATAGTGAGACAAAAGATTTAAAAAATTAGCTAGGCATGTTGACCCATGCCTGTAGTCCCAGCTACATGGGATGCTGGTCTGGAAGGCCTTAGACCCTGCGTTGCCTAGTTCATGCGCCTCTTGTTCACTTCTTTAAACCCTGTGTGTAGCACAAAACCTAGCAAATTGCAGCTGCTCAATGAATGTTTACTTGGCTGAACTGTTAGGAATCTTTTTAGGACTGTATGTTCACAGGGTCATCCCCACCAGAGGACTGAAAGCTAATCTTATGACATACTTCTCTGTTAACTTTCAGTGCCAAAAAAAGATTTAGCAAGTAAGTTCCTGCCCCAAAATACTATAACTTAACATACTATTTAAATAGAGGCCTTCAACAGTTCAACCTGGAGGAAATGGTCAGGGGGAGTTCTACAGGAGATAATTTTCATCAGCTATCTGTTCAGACAGGTGTGCCTACTATTAATGATATATTAATGATAAAATTTTCACCCTTGTTTTAGAAAAATCTGCTTTATTCATTGATATGAATGCCACTGATGTAACAGCAATGAAAATTTATTAAACTTCCAAATATAATTTGCCAAAATTTGAGATAGAAACCACAGACAACCCTTCACTCAGGAAGTAAAACATTTACTAATCACATACTTCTAGCCTAAAAGACTAGATTTAGTAATCCTTAAAAGGTGGTCAATTTAGTCTCTACCTCAGTAGCAGAAAAGGAGCCAACATAAAACAAGTATCACCAGAAAACCACAGGAGTACGCTGAGTGATGTAGAATTTGCTAGTCCCAGATAGTTGGCTCAGCTTGAATAAATGGTCTTTTCACTCCACAGAAACAAGAAAACTGAAAACATCATCCAATACTGCATTCAGAGACTGCACAATTAGCTGATCAGAGCTAATCTAGAGAGAAGCTGCCTTTTCTTCACAGAAACAAGAATTATGATTTTTAAAAATGTTTTGAGGAATTAAATGCAAATTTATTTCACTTTTACTAGATTAGTTTCACCCTATTTACTTATTTTCCCAGATTTATTTTCTGTCCTCACCTCACTTTTCTTTTTTTTTTCTTTCATAGTTGTTTTTCTAGAATTCATTATCTGGTCACTTTACTCAACAGTGAATATTTTCAAGTATTGACTATTTTGATAGAATTTTTAAAATCTAACTTGATCATCAAAAAGATGTCTAAAGATACTACAGATGGGGTTCAAAACATGCTATCCCAAAATATGGCACTTTGGCATTTCAGGAAATAGCAAAAGCAGAAAAATCACTCTCATTATCCCCTCGACCCTTCTCCCCTAAAGCAGGTTATAAAACCTAGAAAGAATTCTTTGACCTCTCTTCTCAGTAAGAACTTCATTCCAGAGATGCCCTGGAGGAAAGAAATGTCCTTATCACTGAAGACACAGGGATACAGAGAAGAATGTGAACAAATAGGCCTTGCAAGCTTCTCCCCAGTTTATTAGATTATACCCCTTTTATCTTATCATACTTCCCTATGACAACTTGTCATCAAACTAAGCATAAAACGTTTTTCCTGTTTGAGTTTTCATATCCTTATGAAGGTTCCCATGTCATATAAAACCCATATGAAATAAATTTGTATGCATTTCTCTTATTAATCTGTCTTTTGCTATAGGACCTCAGCCATGAACCTAAAGATGGGTAAGGAAAAAATCTTTTCTCCCCTACACTACTCATAACCTAGTAAAACTATTATGTGCAATAAGTCTAAGGTTTTTAAACTTTCAATTAATTAACTAATTTTATTTTTTGTAAACAGGAGATCTTGCTATGATGCCGGGGCAGGTCTCAAATTCCTGGCCTCAAGCAACCCTCTGTCCTGGGCCTCTCAAAGGCATGAGGCCTTTGAGCCTCATTGAGATTACAAGCATGAGCCACTGCACCTGGCAAAGTCTAGGGTTTTGAAGAGCTACCAAGAAGACTGCAAAATATAACTCCTTAATCCTACAAATGTTAAGAAAAACAATATTTTTATATAAACATTTAAATATTTTTATATATTGATATATTTCAATATGTTTCTGGGTGCATAAAGGTTTAGAATGGCCTTATATTAGTAGACTATACCTTTTATCACATATAAAAATATAACTTTGTCCATTTTAATACTTTTCTCCTTGTACTGCATTTTGTATAACATTGTCACTCCAAGTTTCTTTTAAATTCCCCTTGCTTTTATCTGCACCCTCCCTCCCCATGCCCACCTTTATTTTCAATCTTTCTGTGTCAGGACAACTTAAATAAGCAGCAAATGGGCAATTGGTTACCCAGGGCTACCCTCTAGTGGTTACTCACAGCATATTAAAATATACCTTTTTCTATCAATGTCAAAATTAATCAAACTTTACAAAAAAAAACAAGATCTTTAGCACACTTCTACTTACACTGTTAATTATCAAATTAGCTCCAGAATAACTCTTAAACTAAATTGCTGAAGGATTAAATTATTTTCACAAAGTCACAACAATATCCTGAGATGTTTCACTTATTAGATTACATGTTATCTTCTAGTCATCTAAGCATTACTACATAACAGACAACCAAAAGAACAAAATTACATAAAATTTTTAAAGCTAGCAATAAATAATAGAAGACTATACCATGCCTTGAAATGACAAATGTGATGAGATGAAGTTTTAATTTACTGTGACAAGCCAGACTGTTCCTGTACAATTTCAAGGACAAAGAAAACATGGATCTATAAGCCTCCTGTTGTAGGCGAGGGTTTGTTTCTTTTCTAAAGGTCAGGAGCCAATAGTTCACACTTGGTGAGACTAAATTCCCTAAGGGCTGCCTCTGAAGGAGATCAAGAGAGAAATGTATCGAAAAAAAAAAAACTGTATCAAGAATTAGAAAAAACGTATGTTAGCTGACAGATGGCTAATTTATTATTTTTTTAAGAGAATTTACAAGACTTTTTGGAGATGTGGTTGATTCAGGACTGAGGCAGGGAAAATACAAGATGAGTCTGAAGCATCTTGTGGTGCTAGGGAGGATGTGCTCAAAAGAAGGAAGGAGGTGTGTCAAAAAAGCACAGGAACCAACCTGAAAGAGCTCCCAGTGGCCAAAGCTGAACATTTTGGACAACAAAATCAACAACAAAGACTGGATTATAAAGCATAGAATGAAATACATATCCATGAATGTGCACCAACATAAATAATGGAATACATAAATAAACGGGGAGAAAGGACAGTTTTTCCTTATAGAAACATTCCAATAATAAATGTAGATGGAATAGGGGAAATAGAAAATAACCTTTAGAGCACCTTAGTGATGATACTTGCAGGCAAGATCCATGGAGGGATGACAAAAATCAGTGGGGAAACAGGATTTTTACATACTCTAAAAGTATGTCCCCCAAGATGTTCTGAGGAGAACATAGTAACTCTACAGTGGAGAAACCCAGCAGATACCACTTTAACCAAGTGATCAAGGTTAATATCACCAGCAATAAGTTATAATTAATAATAATAAGTAATAAGTGTTGATATCACATGCCCTTAGAGGGATACGATGAGAAGTGAACATCACGCCTGTCCTGCCAAAAATGCATAACCTCAATCTAATCACAAGAAAACTTCAGACAAACCCAAAGTAACCAGTATCCTTCCAAAGTATCAAGGTCATGAAAAGACAAGGAAAGACTGAGAAATTGTAAAAGACTAGAAGAGATTAAGGAGACATGAGAACTAAATGCAATGTGGAGTCTTGAACTGGATCTTGGAACAGCAGAAGGACATTAGTGAGAAAACTGATAAAATGTGAATGAAGTCTCTAGTTACAGTATTGTACCAATGTTAATTTGTTGATTCTGATAGTTGAATAATATTTGTGCGAGATGCTAATATTAGGAGAAGCTCAGTGAAGAGTATATGGAACTCTTTGTACTGTTTTTGTAACTTTTCCATTAATCTAAACTTTTCTCACAAATAAAAAGTTTATGGCCGGGTGCAGTGGCTCATGTTTGTAAATCCAGCACTTTGGGAGGCTGAGGCGGGTGGATCACCTGAGGTCAGGAGTTTGAGACCAGTCTGGCCAATGTGGTGAAACCCCATCTCTACTAAAAACACAAAAATTAGCTGGACGTGGTGGTGGGCGCCTGTAATCCCAGCTACTCGGGAGGCTGAGGCAGGAGAATCGCTTAAACCCAGAGGTGGAGGTTGCAGTGAGCCAAGGTCGTGCCACTGCACTCCAGCCTGGGCGACAGAGTGACACTCCGTCTCAAAAAAAAAAAAAAAAAAAATTTATATACCAGGCAATGGAAAAGTACAACATAGATTACCTCATTTGATTCTCCTAATAACTAGGCAAAGGTGGTGTGAATATCCCTATTTTACAGCCTAGGAAATTGAGACTTCGAAATATTAAGTGAAATGTTCAAATGCACACAGTAAGATGTGTCAGGACTGAAACCTTGTTATGACTTGTTCAAAGTCTCCATTCTTTCTACCATGTTATGAGGCTCTGCACAGGCCTGTACCCACCCAAGAAACACAAGTAATCTCTTCTAAAACTAGAGTAAAATTTTAAAGTGGCAGCAATGCTAAAAAAGCAGCAGAGGCTATATTCAGAATCTAGTGGCAATTTTTAATTTGATTAAAATATGCAGTTTTTGGGGAAACATGGTTTTCTGTCAAAAAGGCAAATTACTATATATTTAAATAAAGTCATTTGTATTTACTATGACATCCAGCAAGTCTTATAAAACTATACAAATTACAGTATACTGCTATGCTACCCAATATGAAATATAAAAAAGATGATTTTGTAACAGGTCATTTAACTTCAATAGGCATAGATGTTTTATTATATAGTTCAAAGATACCTAAAACAGATGAGGGGAATTTTAAGATGTCTTAGTGTTTTTTTTTCCTTGAAATTTTGCAACATTAAACCATTTACCTACATAAACACCACATAAATATTATTTAATACAAAGAAGCAGCATATCAAACCCTATAGAAATATCTGAGAAAATGTCCATGACGGAAGAGAAATGCTTCCCCCTTTTCCCTTTTAGTGATACGTTACAGGCATCACAGTAATGATAGGTTACTTCATTTTGTGAATGATGATAAAGGATCAGAATTAAAGCCCCTAAACAAAGTGGTTCCTTTCTCATAACCAAATGTAACTGAATTAAATTATTGATGGATTGTGTTCTCTGCAGTGCAGAAAGATGGCTCTGCCAAGGAAGGGCTATGTAAACTTCATTGTCTGGCTTCAGGTTATCTGTTTACTTCTGTACTTCACTGTGATTTATCATTAAGAAACTGAATTTGTTTTGCCACACTAACCACCCTTTGAATGAACTGTACACTGGAAACATGCTAATAGAAAAAGATAAGACAAATTGCATTTTTTCCCAATTCTACAACCTAATAATTTTTAAAAGCACATATTTTTAAAGGTTAGAAGATGCTTTAAATATCCTAACAAATTTCTCATATTTATTTATAGGAATTTAACTTAAAAATTAAAATATCAATGGTATATTATCATGAACATGCCTAAAACAACAGTTGGGAAAAACAAGCTGAGCACAGACTAAATCAGACAATTTAGGCTGGGCATGGTGGCTCACACCTGTAATCCCAGTACTTTGGGAGGCCGAGGTGGGTGGATCACCTGAGGTCAGGAGTTTGAGACCAGCCTAGCCAACATGGTGAAACCCCATCTCTACTAAAAATACAAAATTAGCCAGGGGTGGTGGCGTTTGCTTGTAATCCCAGCAATCTGGGAGGCTGAGGCAGGAGAATAGCTTGAACCCAGGAGGTGGAGGTTGCAGTGAGTCTAGGTCGCACAACCGCACTACAGCCTGGGCAACGAAAGCAAAACTCCATCTCAAAACAAACAAACAATCAAAAACAGACAATTTAATACATTTTAAAGCGTATCAAAGTTTTGAAGTCTGTAGTACCTTAATTAAGAAAAAAACAGATTAATTAAACTGAATATTAAAACTACCTATATTTTGTATATCAATTATCACCCAAGAGTAAATTTTCCAACCACTTGGTAATTATCTCATTTATTTTCACAATATCATTTAAGTATGTAGGAATAGTTAACTTATTTATATTTGCTGATGGCTAGCTGAGTAACAGAGTCCCTCAATAGCAAATCTAAAACTCCAATCTAGGTCTGCTGATTCCCTATCCACAGCTCATTCACTGAATCATAACACCTCTCAGCTATTTACAATGTGTAGTGAAGGATACAGAATAGCTTGTCGCAATGTATTAGAAAAAGCAAATACATCATAGTTGTGTTCAGCAGTCTACCAGCCTCCCTTTTCATGTCTGGGTACATTTTACAATTCAACAGATAAAAATCACCATTTAATGTGATAGAAATTACTATCTTATTTATTGGCTCTATTAACTCGACAGTGAG
Organism: Homo sapiens; assembly: GCF_000001405.40. Lineage (NCBI taxonomy): Eukaryota > Metazoa > Chordata > Mammalia > Primates > Hominidae > Homo > Homo sapiens. The sequence goes on along the minus strand of NC_000006.12, from coordinate 60,473,833 downwards.
AAAGAGAGAAAAAGATGGATCTTGGGCTAGGTCGTTCATGGTCCTTCTAGCCCTGATTTCTATCTATAAGGCAGGAAGAAAATCTAAGTGTATTGTTTATCCACCAGGAGATTGATCTGGGCCATGTTATGTTTGAGGAGCCTATTTGGCATCCAAGGGGAGACACAGAGCAGGTAGTTGGGTATACCTGACTCTAGGGTAAGAAGAGCAGTCTTGCTGGAGGTTCTCTGAGAATGCAAACTCCAGGAAGACAGGGATTTTGTCTATTTTGTTAAGTTCTATACCTTTAAGCACCCATAACAATGCCCAGGACATACCGAGAGCTCTATAAATATTAGATGGGACTACATGAAACTGCCATGACATTGTACTATTTTTGATCTATATTAACAGCAACTTCATATGATTCTATCTAGTACTTACTGAATAAACGATACCCTGTAATTTTTCATTTCACAGTCTCTCCTCTGGATCTGAGCTAAAAGAATTCCTGCCTTACTGGAAAAAGAGTACAGCAGAGTGGGTAGAAGATCCTGAAGTTGGTCCTTGCTCCTTTTCAGACCCCAACGGTCTCAGTCTCCCTCTTTCCTGGCTAGTGCATTACAGGCACACTAAATATTGTTGGTGGTGATGATGACAGAAATTACCTTTTCCTAATATTTCCTATAGGTAATTATTAGAAAATTAAAAGTTGCCAACTTGCAAATTATATAACTAGTTGATTTTAAATAAATTTACAGTATTTTTCTCAGTACTGTTACTGGGTAGAAGGTTCTGATCGTGAGTTGTTCAGGTCCTTGGCACACTGAACACAGAACTGAACAGCACACACAAACAAGCAAGGAAAGTGTAGACTTACTGAAGTGGGAGGCAATAGTAGTGAAAGCACACTCCATAGAATGGCAGAGGCCCGAGAAAGTGGCTCAAAAGCCTTGGTAGCAAAGTCTTCTGGGGTTTAAGTACCCTCTAGAGGTCTCCCATTGGTTACACCCTATGTAAATGAAGGGCTGGCTCATGCCAATTAGAGGCCAAAGTGAACTGGCCCATGGCCAATCAAAGACAAGTGGGATTGGCACCTTATTTATGCAAATGAAGGTTGTAAAATAGACCAATCATAGGCCACAGTGCAGGTTTGCCTCATGGCCAATCGGAGGCTGGTGTGAATAGGCACCTTATGCAAATGAAGGTCCTAGGATTTAGTTCCAGGAAGTTTGCATGAATTGGCCTTAGGTTCCCTGCCTTCAGAGCCTATTCTTTTGCCTCACTACTACAGTTATCATTTTATAGCTAAAGTTTCTGAGTAATAGATTATTTCTCCAAAGCCATAGCAGAAGAGTAGATAGGTAAACTCAAAAGTCCTGAAGTTCAAATTTGGGCTTAATTCATTACAACTTGTCTCTACCACCAACTACGCGGAAACTCTATATATGTGTGTAAGGATGTTATTATGCTATTTAATTACATTAAGGGATTTTTCTGCCCGTATTTGTTTTCCTATGCTATATCACATTTAGAAACTTCCAAAGACAAATCCAATTGCTTATCATTTTACCTAGATACTTTACCTGAATAGATTATCACATGAAACGACTTTTCTCCTGAAACACACACACACGTATATATAATCGTTAAAAGCTTATATGAGTGATCTTTAAATTACCATACTGCTATACACAATTTCCAAAGTTCTCTTTTTGGTTTATCATGTCATAAACTGAGCATAAAATAAGAATTATTTTCTATTCTGTTTTATAAAGAAATGCTGTTCCTGAAGAACTTTAATATATATTAATTCAAATTTAATCATTTAAATAGACTGTAATAAAAAAAGAAAGCTGAGGATGACTATGCAAATCTGAGCATGGTGTTCTGATAGGATAACTTCTAGGATCACAACTCCACTAGCCACTTCACATGTAGATGAACTTTCTTTAAAACTCAAAAGCTGCCTCTGATGTCCTATATAGCATACAAATGAGCAGAACAATAATGAGAAACACAACACATGTAAAATTACGGGAATAATACTATTTTGACGTGCAGCTTAAAGAGTAATTTGTTTAATAATAATCCCCAAGACAAGTTGACAAATTAACTTGCTTCTAAATAAATGAAAGTATAGGCCAGGTGCGGTGGCTCAAGCATGTAATCCCAGCAATTTGAGAGGCCAAGGCAGAAGGATTGCTTGAGCCCAAGAGTTTGAGGTTAACCTCACATACAGTGAGGTTACTCTATGACTGTGCCACTGCATTCTATCCTGGGAGACAGAGAAAAAACCTATCTCTAACAAAAGTAAATAAATAAGTAACTAAATAAAGAAAAGCATAACATTACTTTTCAAACTTAAGTAGTGGCAGATGAGAGCCCTTTCCCAAGCAGCTACATTAGGTGATTTGTAAAAAGGCTAGAATTTGTTTTACCTTATAATACCAAATAATTCACCTTTCACAAAATGTGCTGCTCTGGCTTGTTTAAACAATGGATGTATCCCCCATCACGTGATTTGGTCTCTCTTTCTTAGCTATATTCATCCAATCTGGACAGTGAACCGTGATGGCAGGGACATCTCTCTATTCCCTTAAATCTCTCTGCCTTATGCCCACTGTGCTTGACAGTGAGGATCTTGAAAAACTATAAATTCCACAGGTATGCACACAAAATTGCATATAAATGTATAATGTACTGTTAAATCTCAATTCCTTAAAGGTTCAGAGGATTATTATCTATCTTCCCTTCCGTTATGAAAACATCATATCCCACAAACCTGCAAAATTAAGTTACCCAACCAACAAGCGCAAGCTGTTTAGTTCTTAAATTGAGGTGACACAACGTGCAAAGGAAAGTCACCTTAATTCCACTAAGGGAAAAAAAATGCACTAAAACCCATCTCTCTGAGCTGAGGCTTCATTCAATATTGAAACAAGTAATCTCAAATTCCATGGTTTTGGCTGCCACTCAACACTATTCCATTCAACTGGGGATTGAACAAAGCAAAATAAAAGGGAGCTTTAATGTGCATTTTCTTCTCCTTTTTGCTATACTACATTGACAGCATCTTGTTCATTAATTAAACTTTTTCTTCCCTTAAAGAAATAGACTGTAGGGTGCTATACTGGACACTGAGGAAGCAGGCAGGAAATAAGAGGCATAACTTAGAAAAAAATCTAGGATTTAAAAATTGTAGTTGGAGATACAAAATATTCATGAACGATAAAACAAATATAGAGAAACATTTCAACAAATGCAAAGTAAGATGGTAAGTATTTAACACATACAGGGGTTGACATGGAGGCAGAACTAGGAGTGATTAGAGGTTCCTCTCATGGATTTTACATGAATCAAGACAGCTCCACCTTGATAACTGAAACAATTCAGGTGCCTCGCACATTTTCTGTCATCCACTAGAAATGGGGTTATGAATTTAAGTCTTTGGAGGCTATGGACCCAATTAATAATGACTAATTTGCCAAATTTGCTGGAACCCTCAGAAATAAATTTTGGTTTTCTGAGCCTGACTTGTGTTTCTTACGTAAGAAGGGAATGTATTCACTGTTATTGTGTTTTTTTGTTTTTTGTTTTGTTTTGTTTTGGTTTCTTTTTGAGACGAACTCTTGCTCTGTTGCCCAGGCTGGAGTGCAGTGGCGCTATCTCAGCTCACTGCAACCTACGCCTCCCAGGTGGAAGCAATTCTCCCACCTCAGCCCCCCAAGTAGCTGGGATTACAGGCTACGCCACCATGCCCGGCTAATTTTTTGTATTTTTAGTAGAGACTGGGTCTCACCATGTTGGCCAGGCTGGTCTTAACTCCTGACCTCAAGCGATCTGCCCACCTTGGCCTCCCAAAGTGCTGGGATTATAAGTGTGAGCCACCACGCCCAGCCTTCATTGTTGTTTTTGTTCTGTATAATAATAGGCACAATAGGGAGATCATGAGGAAAAAACATAATTCTTATTCATTACCTTACTGATATGTAGGAACTTTTGCTTTGATAATAATTTAAAGAAGATATGCCATTTCTAATTTGCCATCTTAAAGCTCAAAATAATAATGCAATAAAATTATAAGTTTATGCAAAATCTTTTGACAGAAATGACAGGTGTTCTAAAGGGAAATGATTAAAAGGTAAAAAAGATGAGAAAATGCTTTTCATGTATTTTTTATTTGGGTTTTAGATACCTCAATATGAGGGAACTAGAGGAACACAGCATTCTTTACTGTTTTATCATTATGTAAATCAAATAGATTTTCTTTTCCAATAAAATTCTATCTGTAAATTGCCCCTGTGCATATCTTGCTGGCAAAAAAATTACAGGAATGACACCAATTTCATGGTAACTTTAATAAAAAAAATGCTCCTCAGCTTTACAACCTGAAGATGAAGAAAGTTTACACACTTTCTTGAAGTCTCTCACTAAAAACTGATGACCAGTGGAAATTTCTCTTCTCAACAGCCATAAAATAGTGACTGCAAAATTCAATAATCTTGAATGCATAGTTCAAAATTTGTGATTTACTGTTTGGCAAATAAAAGTTATTTTCTAACCATAATAATAGCTATTTATTGAGGGCTTACTCTGTTCTAGGCACTGTTTTACCTATATTATTGCTCCTTTACATCCTGGAAAGCCACTTGATACTTTTTTATTAGAATCCCCAGAAAAGAATCCATCCTTTCAATGTTCATTTCCTGAGTATTTGACAACACAATTAGAAAAATTATCTTAATGTTAGAAAAACAGTGCTGTTCATAGATATGAAGAGAAAGCCAGCAGCATATAGAGAAATGGGATAGTCAAGATTATTACTGACAGTGAATAGGAAAATATAATCAAGTTCATGAATTCTAAAAGGAAATTAAAGACATTTGCTAATTAGGTGATCACAAAAGAAATGATAAAATTCATTTCCTGCTCTATGATACTGGCAAGGCATCAAACCAAAAAGACGAAACAAAGGCATTTGGCTTTCATTATAGACCTATATAAAACAGCACAATAAAGAGACGTATACACAGCTCTTTCACATCAGTTAACTTAGATTCCTACCATTTTCTTAGACAAGTGTTTCTATTACCTTTCTTAAAGATCTCACCATGGCTCAGCAGCTGCCATGAGTTAACGAACTAAAAATATGGCTTCTGATGCACATACAATTCATGTTCACATCCACAAGAAAATAATGGGCAAGAATAACTAATAAAGTTAAACAAAGCGGCAGGGCATGGTGGCTCAAGCCTGTAATCCCAGCACTTTGGGAGGCCAAGGCGGGCGGATCATGAGGTCAAGAGATCGAGACCATCCTGGCTAACATAGTGAAACCCTGTCTCTACTAAAAATACAAAAATTAGCTGGGCATGGTGGCACGTGCCTGTAGTCCCAGCTACTCAGGAGGCTAAGGCAGAATAGCCTGAACTTGGGAAGCAGAGGTTGTAGTGAGCCAAGATCGTGCCACTACACTCCAGCCTGGCAACAGAGCAAGACTCCATCTCAAAAAGAAAAGAAAAGAAAAGGGTAAGAACTGAAATAAAAACTGAAGGTTGATGAATTCACCTTAGAATTCACAGGCAGATTATAAACCTCAATATATATTTTTCTCATTTAATTATACTTCTACAAGTTTATGTTCAAATTCTATTTTCAAAAAAGTCTGAGTAATGAACATAGATGATGGCATTCAGGGAGAAAAGAAAGACCATAAGCAAATCTAGACTTAGAACTTCCTTACTTTTTGTAGTTATCAGTGTTTTGGTTTTAAGAAAAATCAATATTGTTTACTTAATTTTGCAACAATTAATTTTTAACTAATCCAATTACTTAAAAAATTATTGGAAAATTATGCTCTTCACAAATGCCACTTACTGTTAATATCTGCAACTTTTCCTGCTATCAAAAGGGCTCATTTACTTCCTTTCAAATTAACATGCATAAAATAGTATTTGTTAACTATCAATAATTTTTTTAAAGTAAATTAACAACAGCTACAACTTAGAGTGCCTATATGTGCTCAGCAGTGTGTCAGGCACTTGACAGACATTATCCCTGCTCCTCACAAGAACCCAAAAAATAGAGATTATTATTCCCATATAAAAATGAGAGCATAAGACAGACCTTAGGAAAAGTAAGTATCTTGACCAGAATGATGAAATGAACCAAGTTAAATCTTAACAGACCCAAATAATCATCACTGTACTCCCTCATAACCAATATAGCTCATCCTAACTTTGGTGGAATAGCAATCTGAAGTTCAGAAAGAACTTACACTTATAGAAAATGTACTTAAGTCTTGATCGTCACCAAAAAGCAGGCACTCTTTCTTTCCTTTAGTTGGGGGGAAAACAGGCCCAGAGAGGGTAAAAAGCTTTTCAGAGCTCCCAAAGAGGTTGTAAGGGCCTGGCCTGTGGCCTTCAGCCTTTAGATCCAATTTTCTTTCTAATGCTCAGGCTTTAACCAGCATAGTTGAAAACGCATGTATTTGTAGCAAAGTACCTGGACAGGCACACCCCCTTTAAGTCTTAGATAGCTCTCCAATCTTCACATTTAACCACATGGTTGCTCACCATTTTTATTATTCCCTTAATATCTTTGTAAGAATAGAATTTTCTATACATTTTCCTTTGACAATCAAAACTGTTAAATAGAAAAGCCATGATTACTGCTTCCAATTTTATTCTAGTCTATCATAATGTTCTACAATGGTGTTTCATTCTCAAATACAGAAATGCTGGGGCATGTAGTGAACAAGTAATACTGAAAAGCTGATTCAAGGAATAAATAATAAATAGTAGGGGTTTTCCCCATAAAATATTGACACAGAAGCCTACAAACCTGCAGTTCTTCAGATGGCAGCTCTTCCTACCTCAGATTAGATGATGTAATCTCACATAAACAAAGGGGAAAAGACCAATAAAAGAAGGTTTAGGATCTTTACAGTAAAACAAAACCAAGTTATTCATTGCATTTGGGTGACATAATAGATGACATTATTGGTCAGGGAAAAACATATTTTCCTACCTATCCACCTAGAAAATTGGACTGGGCATACCCACTCTGATTTATGTGGTCAAATACAAAGCATTTTCAAATACTGGGCAAATTTTTAAATAATATGGACTATATATTTATTGAACACAATTGTCCTTTTGAAGTATTTTTTTCAGTCATACTCAAAAAGTCAGATACTTTTTGACAGCTCAGGAAATATATAGCAAAAAGCTTTTCATAATATTGTATAACAAATCAGAGAAGAAATGCCTATGAACAAACAGTCTAAAATCAAACCAAATGCATATACATACCTTCATTCACATTTTAAGATGTCAACTATGAAAACATAATGCAGAATTATAGTTATAGGCAGATTTCACTGCAGTACTTCTGGAAAAATATGATTTCTCTTGCTCTTTAAATGATGAAAAATAGCCTGCTAAAAGGATCTTTTAAAACATGTCTATAAAAAATCTCCCCCAACATGACTAAGATGTGATTATAAACACAATTTCAATCAAGTGATACTATCTATAACTCTAGCAAGTAGGTAATGAAAAACGGGGGGGAAAAGGCAAAGGGCATTTTGCTTTCTCACATACTACACAATAACGTATTTTATGTCCTAGTGAATATAAGGCAATACTTATGATCGCTTTTCCTACTGCACTTGGGGAAGAGCTTTAAGACTCTAAAGAAAAGTGGAGACCTTCCCCAACTTATGGTGGGGTTATGTCCTGATAAACCCATCATAAGTTGAAAATATCATGTCAAAAATGAATTTTAATACACCCAGCCTACCAAAAATCACAGCTTACTTTAAACATGCTCAGAACACTTACATTTGCCTACAGTTGGGCAAACTAATCCAACACAAAGCTTACCTTATAAAAGCATTAAATATCTCATGTAATGTATTGAACACTGTAGTAAAAGTGAAAAACAGAATGGTTTTACATCATAAAATAAAAAAATTTTAAATCAAGCCATCAAGAAATTCAAACACAAAAAATCTAAAACACAAACATTCAGATTTTATACATCTTCTCAACCACTATCTACAAGTTTATGATTATTACAATATTTTTCTTTTTTTTTTCTAATCCCCATGCTGATCAAAATTACAATATTTCTAATGTTTGGTTTGGATGACTGGTAGAAGTAAAGGTATGGCCATGGGACAGTTTTATTTCTGAAAAGCAAAATGATATTGAGTACTTACTATGTACAAGGCATGGTTCTAAGCACTTTCTTTGTATTAGCTTTATTTCGTCCTCACAACAACCCTTTAGGACAGATACTATTAGGATCCTCTTTTCACAAATGAAGAAACTGGAGCACAGAAAGGTTAAGGAAACTGCCAAAAGTCAGGTTACAGCTGCTAAGTGGCAGAGCAAGAATTTGAATCCAAGTAATTGTATTTCCAAGCACTTAATTGCTCTGAAAACTATATCTGTAGTTTGTCAGATGAAATTACCTATTCTTTCCTGAATTTATGCAGAAAATAAAACAGGAAAGGGGCTTATCCTAAATCATCCTATTTCTCATCCCTTAACTTTTAAAGCTATACGTACAACAACAAAGAAGAACCTGTTACGATGTCAACTGACTGACTCCCATTGGCAGTGCATCTGAAATAATTAGAATTGGTATCAAAAACTTAGGTTTGATTCTGAGCTATATAGGATACAAAGTTTATATGTTTGGACAATTCATTTAACCTTTTTGAGACTCAATACTAAGGTACAGAATGGAATAAAAATATGATCTCCCTTATTTATTTCTGAGGAAGCCAAACACTTAAGATGATTTGGAAATGTTCTTACAGAAGAATTCCAGCTAATAACTTTAGAAATAAAAATAATGTAAGTGATTTTGGAAAGATCATTCGATAGACAAACCATTAGATATAGACTTGTTGAAGAACTTAACAAAACAGAGACTTCAAACTACTGCTACCCAATACGCTTCCTATGTGACACAATATGAAAAATAAAGTACCACTTATGAAGGATTCTTGCCAAAAAGGTTGTGCCTGAATCTACATAAGTCTTTAGAGCTAATTCCATTTACAGAAAAAAAAAACAATGGGTTATACAGTAACAAATTAAATGACACCACAAAAAAAGCAAACCCAAAATGTGAAACATATAGAACTGGCTCATTTCTTCAAGTTAATGGGCTGAAAAAAACAAAAACAAAAAAGGAGAGAGAAAAGGAGAGGTAAGGGATTACTAAAAGATTTATGAGACAACAGCCAAATCTAACGTGACCTGATGTAAATCCTAGTTCAAACAAACCAGATGTAAAAACAAAAACAAAACATTTTTTAAGCAATTGGAGAAATCGGAACATGATCTGGATATCTGATGTCACCAAAAATTATTGCTAATTTTGCCAAGTCATAAGACAGTAACACTACAATTATGTAAGAAAGTGTCTATTTTTTTTAGAGGTGCATACTGCTGTGTATAGGTATCTGTGATGGTTAATTTCACATGCCAAGTTGACTAAATCATAGCATGCCCAGATATTTAGCTAAACATTATTTTGGAGTGTGTCTTGGTGTCTCCAGATGAGACTGGTATTCGAATCAGTAGGCTCTGTAAAGAAGACTGCTCTCCCCAATGTAGGAGGGCAGCACCAAATTTGTTGAGAGCCTGAATAGAACAAAAGGTGAAGGGAGAATTCTCCTGTCTGCCTGACCACATGAGCTGAGACACTGGTCTTCTCCTATCCTTGGACTGGGACTTACTGGCTCCCCCAGTTCTCAGGCCTTTGGACTCAGATTGAACTACACCACTGGCTTTCCCGAGTCTCCAGCTTGCTGACAGCAGATCATAGAACTTCTCAGGCTTCATAATCACATGAGCCAGTTCCTCATAAAAAATATCTTTATATAGAGAGAGCGGCATATGACTTAGTCTGAAACTTGCTTCAAAAATAGCTAAAACACAAAGAATAAAAAGGGATAAATAAATAAAATATGGAAAAGACTGATAACTGTTTAGTATGATGACAGATATGTGAGAATTTGTATTTGTATACATTTGGAATTTTTGATAATGTTAAATTTTTTTAAAGTATTTTCTCCACTTGTTTCATAAACTATTATGATCATTGAGAAAAAGTATATAAAAGCGAAAACACATATCAGTGTGTTTTAATGTCAGTGTGTTTTAATGTCAGTTTGAAAAAGGAATAAAGAAAAAAATTTAAGGAATCCACATTCTAAATTAGGAGATGGCCAACTATGGCCAGTCCACAGGCCAAATCCAGACAGCTGCCTGTTTTTGTGATAGTAACACAGCTACATCCATTTGTTTAAATATTGTTGATGGTTGCTTTCATGCTGCAGCAGCAAAGTAAGTGCAACAGAAACCATATGGTTCATAAAGCAAAATTTATTTACTATCTGGCCCTTTAAAGAAAGTTTACTGACTCCTATTATAAATTCTACATTTTTACTATTATTTAAGAGAAAATTTAGCCTCAAAACATTTTCAGAGCCTTTCTTTTTAAAATTTACCAATGATTTTCCCTAACTAGCTTCTCACAAATAAAAACAAAACCACCCACAAAATAGGGGCTGGTAGCCTCATAAGTTTTGCCCTAAAGTGAATAAATCACTTCATAGCTTCGAGGTAGCTACTTTTCTATTAAATCTAGAAGCCCATAATAAAAGTAAACAAACAAACCAAAAAAGTAAAAAGGTAAAAAAAAGAAAGGAAACTTATAATTTCATATTACTATTATTATTTTACTTCAAGTTCCCTGAGTTTAATAAAAATAGCCAAAGGGAGACAATATATTACATGTTTCAATGCATTCCAACCAAAGGATGTTTTTTATTTGGGGAGGGAAAGAGAAAGGAACACATAAACATACAAGGCTGGAATTTCCTCCATGTCAATCCAGCGAAGAACACTGTAAACCCATGGGCCATTTTTTTCTAACTATAAACAGTATGTTTTGGATTAGTAGTTTAAACACATTCTTTGGCAGCCTTCAACTTAACTTACATAACCTTCAGGTACACCCATGAGCTGATTACTAATTTAGGGCTTGAGAAAAGCAATGTTTCAGAGGGAAAAGGAGACATGAATGAGCTTAATATGTAAGTACACTAGCTAAAGGGCATAATTAAAACTACATCACTCCTTTAAATCTACATAATTATGTCCCAAAGACATTCTCATTAGTATCTTTTATTTTGACACTAAACCAGAAAGGACTTCATGTCTACATAGTTGGGAAATTCATTTAAAATTTAAAAAGCTAAGGCCGGCTGTACCCATCAGCTCATGCCTGTAATCCCAGCACTTTGGGAGGCTGAGGAGGGTGGATCACCTGAGCAGGAGTTTGAGAACAGCTTGACCAATATGGCAAAACCCTGTCTCTACTAAAAATACAAAAATTAGCCAGGCATGGTGGCGTGTGCCTGTAATCCCAGATACTCGGGAGGCTGACACAGGAGAATTGCTTGGAGACAGGAGAATTACTTGAACCCAGGAGGCGGAGGTTGCAGTGAGCGAAGATCGCACCACTGCACTCCAACCTGGGCAACAAAGCAAGAGTCTGTCTCCAAATAAATAAATAAAAAAGCTAAGGCATATACAAGTCAGATAAAGTGTTTGCAAAATTCAATCACTGAACTTCCCTTTTTAAAGTAAAATCTGCCATTAAGTAATATATAAATCCAGTCAACCATCACTGCTACCACAATATCAGTAGGTAACCTTATGCCCCAAATTTCAGAGGGGAAAATAACCAGAAAGAATTAAACTATTTTTAATTTTAGAAGACAGAATGCTGCTTTTTCTGACACTAACTCAACTGGAAATCTCTACTAACCAGTGCTTCCTCTACTATACAATGATAACTGATATTCCTAATGATCAGCCTGAAGCATGTTCCAAATCCTGAAGTTCATTCTAAATGTTTAAAAAGAAGATTATGTTCAGGAGAATTTCAGTGGTGAGTACACTTCATTATATTCTCATTATTTTAAGATTAGTAACATATTTAGGATATATAGGGCAACTGTCCATCAAAAGGCTATTCCCAAAAATCAGATATTCCCAGAGGCTATACTGGAAAGCTCTTAATATTATGGTCAATTTACTATACATAGAGGAGAAAATCACCTCTCTCAAGACATGGGACATGAAATTCTATAGGGCATTAAGAGATTCTGTCCTAGGACTTGAAGAAATTTTAAATCCCCTTTTTGAAAAAAATTGGCCCAAACAGTGGCCCTTGTACTCTCTGCTTATAATGACACTGATCAAATCTTCTGAGACAGAAGCTGGAAGAGGAATTAGGAAGCTATTGCAATAATTAGATAAGAGATGGTGATGGTGTGGACCAATATTGTGGCAGTACAAACTGGATAATGATATACTTTCAAGGTTGAGACAGAACAATTTGCTGAGAGCATCGGTATGAGAGAAAGGAGTAAAAGACTATATACATCGGGGAGGAGCCAAGATGACCGAATAGGAACAGCTCCGGTCTATAGCTCCCAGCATGAGCCACGCAGAAGACGGGTGATTTCTGCATTTCCATCTGAGGTACCGGGTTCATCTCACTAGGGAGTGCCAGATAGTGGGCACAGGTCAGTGGGTGCGTGCACTCTGCACAAGCCAAAGCAGGGCGAGGCATTGCCTCACTCCGGAAGCACAAGGGGTCAGGGAATTCCCTTTCCTAGTCAAAGAAAGGGGTGACAGACTGCACCTGGAAAATTGGGTCACTCCCACCCGAATACTGCGCTTTTCTGACGGGCTTAAAAAATGGCGCACCACGAGATTATATCCCGCACCTGGCTCAGAGGGTCCTATGCCCACGGAGTCTCACTGATTGCTAGCACAGCAGTTTGAGATCAAACTGCAAGGCGGCCGCAAGGCTGGGGGAGGGGCGCCCACCATTGCCCAGGCTTGCTTAGGTAAACAAAGCATCCAGGAAGCTCAAACTGGATGGAGCCCACCACAGCTCAAGGAGGCCTGCCTGCCTCTGTAGGCTCCACCTCTGGGGGCAGGGCACAGACAAACAAAAAGACAGCAGTAACTTCTGCAGACTTAAATGTCCCTGTCTGACAGCTTTGAAGAGAGCAGTGGTTCTCCCAGCACGCAGCTGGAGATCTGAGAACAGGCAGACTGCCTCCTCAAGTGGGTCCCTGACCCCTGACCCCTGAGCAGCCTAATTGGGAGGCACCCCCCAGCAGGGGCACACTGACACTTCACATGGCAGGGTACTCCAACAGACCTGCAGCTAAGGGTCCTATTAGAAGGAAAACTAACAAACAGAAAGGACATCCACACCAAAAACACATCGGTACATCACCATCATCAAAGACCAAAAGTAGATAAAACCACAAAGATGGGGAAAAAACAGAACAGAAAAACTGGAAACTCTAAAAAGCAGAGTGCCTCTCCTCTTCCAAAGGAACGCAGTTCCTCACCAGCAATGGAACAAAGCTGGATGGAGAATGACTTTGACGAGCTGAGAGAAGAAGGCTTCAGACGATCAAATTACTCTGAGCAACGGGAGGACATTCAAACCAAAGGCAAAGAAGTTGAAAACTTTGAAAAAAATTTAGAAGAATGTATAACTAGAATAACCAATACAGAGAAGTGCTTAAAGGAGCTGATGGAGCTGAAGACCAAGGCTCGAGAACTACGTGAAGAATGTAGAAGCCTCAGGAGCCGATGTGATCAACTGGAAGAAAGGGTATCAGCAATGGAAGATGAAATGAATGAAATGAAGCAAGAAGGGAAGTTTAGAGAAAAAAGAATAAAAAGAAAAGAGCAAAGCCTCCAAGAAATATGGGACTATGTGAAAAGACCAAATCTACGTCTGATTGGTGTACCTGAAAGTGATGGGGAGAATGGAACCAAGTTGGAAAACACTCTGCAGGATATTATCGAGGAGAACTTCCCCAATCTAGAAAGGGCAGGCCAACGTTCAGATTCAGGAAATACAGAGAAGGCCACAAAGATACTCCTTGAGAAAGCAAGTCCAAGACACATAATTGTCAGATTCACCAAAGTTGAAATGAAGGAAAAAATGTCAAGGGCAGCCAGAGAGAAAGGTCGGGTTACCCTCAAAGGGAAGCCCACCAGACTAACAGCGGATCTCTCAGCAGAAACCCTACAAGCCAGAAGAGAGTGGGGGCCAATATTCAACATTCTTAAAGAAAAGAATTTTCAACCCAGAATTTCATATCCAGCCAAACTAAGCTTCATAAGTGAAGGAGAAATAAAATGCTTTACACACAAGCAAATACTGAGAGATTTTGTCACCACCAGGCCTGCCCTAAAAGAGCTCCTGAAGGAAGCGCTAAACATGGAAAGAAACAACCGTTACCAGCCGCTGCAAAATCATGCCAAAGTGTAAAGACCATCGAGACTAGGAAGACACTGCATCAACTAACGAGCAAAATCACCAGCTAACATCATAATGACAGGATCAAATTCACACATAACAATATTAACTTTAAATGTAAATGGACTAAATGCTCCAATTAAAAGACACAGACTGGCAAATTGGATAAAGAGTCAAGACCCATCAGTGTGCTGTATTCAGGAAACCCATCTCACGTGCAGAGACACACATAGGCTCAAAATAAAAGGATGGAGGAAGATCTACCAAGCAAATGGAAAAGAAAAAAAGGCAGGGGTTGCAATCCTAGTCTCTGATAAAACAGACTTTAAACCAACAAAGATCAAAAGAGACAAAGAAGGCCATTACATAATGGTAAAGGGATCAATTCAACAAGAAGAGCTAACTATCCTAAATATATATGCACCCAATACAGGAGCACCCAGATTCATAAAGCAAGTCCTGAGTGACCTACAAAGAGACTTAGACTCCCACACATTAATAATGGGAAACATTAACACCCCACTGTCAACATTAGACAGATCAACGAGAGAGAAAGTCAACAAGGATACCCAGGAATTGAACTCAGCTCTGCACCAAGCGGACCTAATACACATCTACAGCACTCTTCACCCCAAATCAACAGAATATACATTTTTTTCAGCACCACACCACACCTATTCCAAAATTGACCACATACTTGGAAGTAAAGCTCTCCTCAGCAAATGTAAAAGAACAGAAATTATAACAAACTATCTCTCAGACCACAGTGTAATCAAACTAGAACTCAGGATTAAGAATCTCACTCAAAACCACTCAACTACATGGAAACTGAACAACCTGCTCCTGAATGACTACTGGGTACATAACGAAATGAAGGCAGAAATAAAGATGTTCTTTGAAACCAACGAGAACAAAGACACAACATACCAGAATCTCTGGGACGCTTTCAAAGCAGTGTGTAAAGGGAAATTTATAGCACTAAGTACTAAGTGCCCACAAGAGAAAGCAGGAAAGATCCAAAATTGACACCCTAACATCACAATTAAAAGAACTAGAAAAGCAAGAGCAAACACATTCAAAAGCTAGCAGAAGGCAAGAAATAACTAAAATCAGGCAGAATTGAAGGAAATAGAGACACAAAAAACCCTTCAAAAAATTAATGAATCCAGGAGCTGGTTTTTTGAAAGGATCAACAAAATAGATAGACCGCTGGCAAGACTAACAAAGAAAAAAAGAGAGAAGAATCAAATAGATGCAATAAAAAATGATAAAGGGGATATCACCACCGATCCCACAGAAATACAAACTACCATCAGAGAATACTACAAACACCTCTATGCAAATAAACTAGAAAATCTAGAAGAAATGGATAAATTCCTGGACACATACACTCTCCCAAGACTAAACCAGGAGGAAGTTGAATCTCTGAATAGACCAATAACAGGATCTGAAATTGTGGCAATAATCAATAGCTTACCAACCAAAAAGAGTCCAGGACCAGATGGATTCACAGCCGAATTCTACCAGAGGTACAAGGAGGAACTGGTACCATTCCTTCTGAAACTAT
Source organism: Homo sapiens (assembly GCF_000001405.40). Taxonomy (NCBI): domain Eukaryota; kingdom Metazoa; phylum Chordata; class Mammalia; order Primates; family Hominidae; genus Homo; species Homo sapiens. The sequence goes on along the minus strand of NC_000006.12, from coordinate 60,457,899 downwards.
TCCAATCAATAGAAAAAGAGGGAATCCTCCCTAACTCATTTTATGAGGCCAGCATCATCCTGATACCAAAGCCAGGCAGAGACACAACCAAAAAAAGAGAATTTTAGACCAATATCCTTGATGAACATTGATGCAAAAATCCTTAATAAAATACTGGCAAAACGAATCCAGCAGCACATCAAAAAGCTTATCCACCATGATCAAGTGGGCTTCATCCCTGGGATGCAAGGCCGGTTCAATATATGCAAATCAATAAATGTAATCCAGCATATAAACAGAGCCAAAGATAAAAACCACATGATTATCTCAATGGATGCAGAAAAGGCCTTTGACAAAATTCAACAACCCTTCATGCTAAAAATTCTCAATAAATTAGGAATTGATGGGACGTATTTCAAAATAATAAGAGCTATCTATGACAAACCCACAGCCAATATCATACTGAATGGGCAAATACTGGAAGCATTCCCTTTGAAAACTGGCACAAGACAGGGATGCCCTCTCTCACCACTCCTATTCAACATAGTGTTGGAAGTTCTGGCCAGGGCAATTAGGCAGGAGAAGGAAATAAATGGTATTCAATTAGGAAAAGAGGAAGTCAAATTGTCCCTGTTTGCAGACGACATGATTGTATATCTAGAAAACCCCATTGTCTCAGCCCAAAATCTCCTTAAGCTGATAAGCAACTTCAGCAAAGTCTCAGGATACAAAATCAATGTACAAAAATCACAAGCATTCTTATACACCAAGAACAGACAAACAGAGAGCCAAATCATGAGTGAACTCCCATTCACAATTGCTTCAAAGAGAATAAAATACCTAGGAATCCAACTTACAAGGGATGTGAAGGACCTCTTCAAGGAGAACTACAATCCACTGCTCAACGAAATAAAAGAGGTTACAAACAAATGGAAGAGCATTCCATGCTCATGGGTAGGAAGAATCAATATCGTGAAAATGGTCATACTGCCCAAGGTAATTTATAGATTCAATGCCATCCCCATCAAGCTACCAATGACTTTCTTCACAAAATTGGAAAAAACTGCTTTAAAGTTCATATGGAACCAAAAAAGAGCCTGCATCGCCAAGTCAATCCTAAGCCAAAAGAACAAAGCTGGAGGCATCACGCTACCTGACTTCAAACTATACTACAAGGCTACAGTAACCAAAACAGCATGGTGCTGGTACCAAAACAGAGATATAGATCAATGGAACAGAACAGAGCCCTCAGAAATAACGTCACATATCTACAACTATCTGATCTTTGACAAACCTGAGAAAAACAAGCAATGGGGAAAGGATTCCCTATTTAATAAATGATGCTGGGAAAACTGGCTAGCCATATGTAGAAAGCTGAAACTGGATCCCTTCCTTACACCTTATACAAAAATCAATTCAAGATGGAGTAAAGAATTAAATGTTAGACCCAAAACCATAAAAATCCTAGAAGAAAACCTAGGCAGTACCATTCAGGACATAGGCATGGGCAAGGACTTCATGTCTAAAACACCAAAAGCAATGGCAACAAAAGCCATAATTGACAAATGGGATCTCATTAAACTAAAGAGCTTCTGCACAGCAAAAGAAACTACCATCAGAGTGAACAGGCAACCTACAAAATGGGAGAAAATTTTCACAACCTACTCATCTGACAAAGGGCTAATATCCAGAATCTACAATGAACTCCAACAATTTTACAAGAAAAAAACAACCCCATCAAAAAGTGGGCGAAGGACATGAACAGACACTTCTCAAAAGAAGACATTTATGCAGCCAAAAAACACATGAAAAAATGTTCATCATCACTGGCCATCAGAGAAATGCAAATCAAAACCGCAATGAGATACCATCTCCCACCAGTTAGAATGGCAATCATTAAAATGTCAGGAAACAACAGGTGCTGGAGAGGATGTGGAGAAATAGGAACACTTTTACACTGTTGGTGGGACTGTAAACTAGTTCATCCCTTGTGGAAGTCAGTGTGGCAATTCCTCAGGGATCTAGAACTGGAAATACCATTTGACCCAGCCATCCCATTACTGGGTATATACCCAAAGGACTATAAATCATGCTGCTATAAAGACACATGCACACGTATGTTTATTGCGGCATTATTCACAATAGCAAAGACTTGGAACCAACCCAAATGTCCAACAAGGATAGACTGGATTAAGAAAATGTGGCACATATACACCATGGAATACTATGCAGCCATCAAAAATGATGAGTTCATGTCCTTTGTAGGGACATGGATGAAATTGGAAATCATCATTCTCAGTCAACTATCACAAGAACAAAAAACCAAACACCGCATATTCTCACTCATAGGTGGGAACTGAACAATGAGATCACATGGACACAGGAAGGGGAACATCACACTCTGGGGACTGTTGTGGGGTGGGGGGAAGGGGGAGGGATAGCATTGGGAGATATACCTAATGCTAGATGATGAGTGAGTGGGTGCAGCGCAACAGCATGGCACATGTATACATATGTAACTAACCTGCACAATGTGCACATGTACCCTAAAACTTAAAGTATAATAATAAAAATAAATAAATAAAAGACTATATACATCAAGGTTTTTAACCTGAGCAACTAAAACAATGAGACTGCCATTATCTGAGATTGGAAAGACGATAGGAGGAGTTGGTTTGGGGCAGAATGGTATACCAACAGCTTAGTTTTAAGCACTTTAAGTCTGAGATACCTCCTAAGTATTATGATGTTTGTATAATCTAGAACATAGATCATCTATAGATCATAAGTAGGCACTTGGATATCTGGGTCTAGAGCTCAGGGAGGTGGTTAGGCTGAAAATATGCCCTTAGGAGTTATTGGCATATAGATCTATGTGAAGCCATAAAAAAGGATGAGATCACCTGAGTGTAAATATAAAGAACTAAAGTGTTTCCTGGAGTGCTAAACTATCTAAGAAGAATATAATACCCAAATTCCTCATCTTATTGTGCCCATTTCATTGTGCTTCATAGATAGTGCATTTTTTACATATTGAAGGTTTGTGGAACCCTGCATCGAGCATGTCTATCCATGCCATTTTTCCAACAGGATATGCTCACTTCGTGTCTGTGTGTCACATTTTGGTAATTCTCTTAATTTTTCAAACTTTTTCATTATTGTATCTCATTATATATATTTTATTATTATGTCTGTTTTGGTGATCTGGGATTAGTAATCTTTGATGTTACTAATGGAATTGTTTTGGGGTGTCACAAACACACCCACCTAACACAGCAAACTTAGTTGATAAATGTTGTGTGTCTTCTGACTGCTCCACCAACTGGCCATAACCCTGTCTCTCTCCCTCTCCTCAGGCCTCTCTATTCCCAGAAACACAAAAATACTGAAATCAGGCCAATTAATAAGGACTCTGACCAAGTGTAAAAAAGACTCGCACATCTCTCACTTTAAGTAAAAAGTTAGAAATTATTAGGCTAGTGAGGAAGCCATGTACAAAGCAAAGATGGGCTGACAGCTAGCCTCTTTGAGAAAGTTAAGTGAGATAGGCCGAAAGCTAAGCTTCTTGTGCCAAACAGCCAAGCTGTGAATGCAAAAAAAAGTTTTTCAAGGAAATCAAAAGTGATACTCCAGTGAATATGTGAATGATAAAAAAGCAATACAGGCTTAGTGCTGATGTGGAGAAAGATTGAGTAGTCTAGATGGAAGATTAAACCAGCCACAACATTCCCCTAAGTGAAAGCCCAATCCAGAGGAAGGCTATAACTCTCTTCAATTCTGTGAAGGCTGAGAGAGGTGAGGGAACTATAGAAGAAAAGTTTGAAGCAATTGGCTGGGCAGAGTGGCTCACGCCTGTAATCCTAGCACTTTGGGAGGCCGAAGAGGGCAGATTGCCTGAGCTCAGGAGTTTGAGACCAGCCTGGGCAACAACGGTGAAACCCCATCTCTACTAAAATACAAAAAATCAGCCGGGCGTGGCGGCATGCACCTGTAGTCACAGCTACTCAGGAGGCTGAGGCAGGAGAATCGTTTGCACCCAGGAGGCAGAGGTTCCAGTGAGCCCAGATCACGCCACTGCACTCCAGCCTGGGCAACAGAGCGGGACTCCATCTCCACCAAAAAAAAAAAAAAAAAAAAAAACTTTGATGCTAGCACAGGTGGGTTTATGAGGTTTAAGGAAAGAAGCTATCTCCATGATATAAAAGTACAAGGTGAAGCGGCAAGTGCTGATGGAGAAGCTGCAGCAAGTTATCCAGAAGAACTAGCTAAGATGACAAAGGTGGCTATACTAAACAACACATTTTCAATGTGAATAAAACAGCCTTATATTGGAAGAAGATGTCATCTAGGACTTTCATAGCTAGAAAGGAGAAGTCAATGCCTGGCTTCAAATTAGCCCCTAACTTTCTTGTTAGGGGCTATAGCAACTTGTAGCTTAAAGTAAAAGACAATTTAGCATTCTGAAAATCCTAGGGCCCTTACGAATTATGCTAAATCTACTCTGCCTGTGGCCTCTAAATGGAACAACAAAATATGGGTAACAGCATATCTGTTTATAGCAGAGTTTACTGAACAGTTAAGTCCACTATTGAGACTTGGTGCTCAGATAAAAGGATTCCTTACAAAATATTACTGCTTCATGACAATGCACCTAGTCACCCAAGTGCTTTGATGGAGATGTATGATGAGATTAATGTTTTCATGCTTGTTAACACAACATCCATTCTGCTGCCCATGGATCAAGGAATAATATTGACTTTCAAGTCTTATTATTTTAAAAATATATTTAATTAGGATATCATTGCCATAGATTGTGATTCCTCTGATGGATCTAGGTAAAGTAAATGGAAAACCTGGAAAGAATTCACCATTCTAAATGTCATTAAGAATATTTGTGACTCTTGGGAAGAGATCAAAATATCAACATTAACAGGAGTTTGGAATAAGTTGATTTCCAACCTTCACGGATGACTTTGAGGGGTTCAAGACTTCAGGAAAGGAAGTCACTGCAGATGCAGTGGAAATATCAAGAGAACTAGAATTAGAAGTGGAGCCTAAAGATGAGCTGACTGCTGCAACATCATGATAAAACTTTTTAGTGGATAAAGAGTTGCTTCTCATGGATGAGCAAAGAAGGTGGTTTCTATTCCTGATGGAAACTATTCCTGGTGAAGATGCTGTGAACACTGTTGAAATGACAACAAAAGATTTAGATTATTACATACACTTAACTTACAAACAGCATCAGGGTTGAGAGGATAGACTGCAATACTGAAAGAAGTTCTGTTACAGGTAAAATGCTATCAAACAGCACTGCATGCCACAAAGAAATCTTTTATGAAAGGAAAAGTCAATCAATGCAGCAAACTTCATGGCTGTCTTATTTTAAGAAATTGTAAGAGCCACTCCAATCTTCAGCAACTACCACCTTGATCAGTCAGCAGCCATCAACATCAAGGCAAGACCCTCCACCAGCAAAAAGATTACAACTCACCAAAGGCTCAAATGATCATTACCATTTTTAGTAACAAAAAATGTATTTTTAAATAAAGGTGTCTATATTGTTTTTCTAGATATAATGCACACTTAATAGACTGCAGTGTAGTATACATTTGAGTTTTATATGCACTGGGAAAGCAAATTGTGTGACTTCCTTTATTTAAATTTTATTGTGGTGGTCTGGAGCAAAACCTGCAATATCTTCTAGGTATGCCAGTACCACCTTAGCGATGTTAAATACCTACATCTATGTTGTCTAGGATCTATCCCGTCAAGTATCCTATGTACTATTCTAAACCAATTCTTCAATTATTTTAAATCAGCAAGTAAATTTATCTTTGCTGAAAATGAGGAAAGATGGTTATTGTGAAATCAGTCAGATGGAATCTTGACCTGAGTAGGCCCTTAGATACAATTTTGAGAAAGGCATAACTAGCTGCAGATAAGAAGTACAAGGTAAAGCCAAAAAAAGACTGCAAAAATTCACTAGAATAGGTAAATACTGAAGTCAGGGCAGTCAACAGTTCTGCTTGGATGATGACACAGTGCTGAAGGGTGACCCAAGTGATTTCTGCCATAATAACTTCCATGGATTCAACTTAGACACTTTAAGCATGCTACCAAAAATTCAAATATTCAGAAAATGTATGACAAACATAAAAAGTTTGAGAGGCACTAATCTTATATCTTTGTATCACCTCAAAGCCCAAAACTTTTTTTTTTTTTTCTTTAAGATGCAGGGTGTCACTCTATCTCCCAGGCTAGAGTGAAGTGGCATGCTCATGGCTCACTGTAACCTTGAACTCCTGGGCTCAATCCCATCTCAGCCTCCCAAATAGCTGAGACTACAGGTGTGTATCACCACACCCAGCTAATTTTTTTATTTTTTTGGAGAGACGGAGTCTTGCTGTGTTGCCTAGGCTGGTCTTGAGCTCCTGGGCTCAAGTGATCTTCCCACCTTGGCCACCCATAGCGCTGAGATTATAGGTGTGAGCCACCGTGCCCAGCCCCAAAATGTATCTCATTAATGACTACCTAAAAGTTAGCATCTTGGCATTGATTAGAAAATTGAACCCCTGAAAAGAGCTCAGCACCCTCAACCAACTTGCTTTGGACATCTGACATTTTAAAAGAAATAAAAACACGTGTATCAAGGAACCACCATATATATTTTCTAACTTCTATATATATATTAAGAAAGATAAAGATCAGAAGACAGCAATAAAACCAACCTGTAATTTCTCAGCATCCAGCAGGAATACTTTAACTGAAACTTAATAACATGCTCTCAGCTTTTACAAAGGTTCAGTGTAAGACTCTCCACTTGAGTAATGGTTCTATGTGTTTAGCCAAACCATGGTTTAAAAGGTCCTTTATTATGTTACCAACAACCTTTATATGAATACTTCATGGATCATAAAATATTCATGCATCCCAATTCTGTATGTCCAAATCGTACCATCCTTCAGGGTTCAATTCAAATATCAATTTGTCCATGAAGCCCTCTCTGAGTCTCCTAGGTAGATATATCTTACTCTTGAGCTTGTCCTCCTACTATGCTTACTACTTTCAACATCATATTAAATAAGAACTTAGGGGAGGGCATTTTATTGATCATTTGCTATGTATCAGACACTGTGCTAATAAGCACAATACTAAGGGTTGTTATCATATGTAATCTTCATCTCAATCCCATCATTATCCTTATTTGAAAGATGAGAAAACTAAGTCCAGAGAGGCTGACTTAACCAAAGTCACATGGCAAATAACTGGCAAATAGGTCTGGGCTCTGGTTTGATTCCAAAGTCTACATTCTCCCCGCCACACCACAGTGCCTTCCAAAACAAGAGAACTGCCCTCTCAGGAGACTAATGTCTATTTATTTATTAAGTTTTGTGAAATATTTCTAAATATCCAATACTTACTTGAATTTAAACCTAACAAAATGTGGTATCTGTCTCCAAAGAGGTTATTATTATTTGCAAGGCAATTCAATAGTTATATTAAAATACAAGTTATAACAGTCTAGTATAGACTATGTTCCCTGAGGTCAAAAGTCATATCTTTTTCTTTTTTTTTTTTTAACTTTTAAGTTTGGGGGATATGTGCAGGTTTGTTATATAGGTAAACTCACATCATAGCAGTTTGGTGTATAGATATTTCATCACCCACGTACTAAGCTTAGTACCCAATAGTTATTTTTTTCTGCTCCTCTCCTTCCTCCCACCCTCCACCCTCAAGGAAGCTCCAGTGTCTGTTGTTCCCTTCTCTATGCTCATGAGTTCTCATCATTTAACTCCCACTTATAAATGAGAATGTGCAGCATTTGATTTTCTGTTCCCGCATTAGTTTGCTAAGGATAATGGCCTCCAGCTCCATCCATGTTCCTGCAAAAGACATGATCTTGTTCTTTTTTATGGCTGAAGAGTATTCCATGGTATATGTGTACCACATTGTCTTTACCCAATCTGTCACCGATGGACACTTAGGGTGATTCCATGTCTTTGCTATTGTGAATAGTGCTGCAATGAACATTCGCGTGCATATGTCTTTATGGTAGAATGATTTATATTCCTCTTATACTCGGTAATAGCATTGCTGGGTCGAATGGTAGTTCTGTATTTAGCTCTTTGAGGAATTGCCATACTGCTTTCCACAATGGTTGAACTAATTTACACTCCCACCAACAGTGTATGTGTTCCCTTTTCTCCACAACCTCACCAGCATCTATTATTTTTTGACTTTTTAATAATAGCCATTCTGACTGGTATGAGATGGTATCTCACTGTGGTTTTGATTTGCATTTCTCTAATGATCAGTGATACTAAGCTTTTTCTCCTATGCTTGTTGGCCACATGTATGTCTTCTTTAGAAAAGTATCTGTTCATGTCCTTAGCCTACTTTTTAATGGACTTTTTTTTGTTTTTCTTTTAAATTTAAGTTCCTTATAGATGCTGGATATTAGACCTTTGTCAGATGCACAGTTGGCAAATATTTTCTCCCATTTGGTAGGTTGTCTGTTTACTCTGTTGATAGTTTCTTTTGCTGTGAAGAAGCTCTTAAGTTTAATTAGATCCCATTTGCCAATATTTGCTTTTGTTGCAATTGCTTCTGGTATCTTTGTCATGAAATCTTTGTCCATTTCTAATGTCCAGCATGGTACTGTCTAGGTTGTCTTCCAGGGTTTGTAGCATTTTGGGTTTAACATTTAAGTCTTTAATCCATCTTGAGTTGATTTTTTTATATGGTGTAAGGAAAGGGTCCAGTTTCAATCTTCTACATATGGCTAGTCAGTTATCCCAGCACTACTTGTTGAATAGGCAGTCCTTTCCCCATTGCTTTTGTCGGCGTTGTTGAAGATCAGATTGTCGTAGGTGTGCGGCCTTATTTCTGGGCTTCCTATTCTGTTCCATTGGTCTATGTCTGTTTTTGTACCAGTACCATGTTGTTTTGGTTACTGTAGCCCTGTAGTATAGTTTGAAGTCAGATAACATGATGCCTCCAGCTTTGTTCTTTTTGCTTAGGATTGCTTTGGCTACTAAGGCCTTTTTGGTTCCATACGAATTTTAAAATAGTTTTTCTAGTTCTGTGAAGAATGTCATTGGTAGTTGGATAGGAATAGCATTGAATCTATAAATTACTTTGGGCAGAATGGCCATTTTAATGATATTGATTTTTCCTATCTGTGAGTATCAGATGTTTTTCCATTTGTTTGTGTCATCTCTGATTTCTTTGAGCAGTATTTTCTAATTCTCATTGTAGAGCTCATTCCCCTCTCTTGTTAGCTGTATTCCTAAGTATGTTATTCTTATTATGGCAATTGTGAATGATGGCATTGTGTTCCTGATTACTGACAGTCCTTAAAACATTAGCATACAGACAGAGTTTAATAAATATGAAAATAAAAGCTCTTCTTGTCCAAAAAAATTATATTTCTTTCCAAAAATGAGAATCACGGACTTTTTCTATCCCCCGTAGCTAAAGTTAGTGCTCAAGTAGAATAATTAGTTTAGCCAGGTGTTCAGCAATGTCTAGTTCTCTGTTCCTTTCAATATTTTGTTTTTATTTTTCATTTTTCTAAAGGAAGAAGACAATGTCATAAAGCTTATCTAGTGTTTGTGGTATGGCCCATCCAATGAACAGAAAAATCATGTGAATCCCGGAGCTTCTACCTAGCAGTAAACTCACTGATCTTCAGGGTGTTTCTTTGCAAAATCCAGGTAATTATACCTATTTTTATATGGTGAATTTCTAAGCTTAAATAAGAATATTTATACAAAGTAGGCCAGGCACGGTGGCTCACACCTATAATCCCAGCACTTTGGGAGGCCGAGGCGGGTGGATCACTTGAGGTCAGGAGTTCCAGACAAGCCTGGCCAACATAGTAAAACTCTGTCTCTACTAAAAATACAAAAATTAGCCAGACGTGGTGGTGCACAACTATAGTCCCAGGTACTTGGGAGGCTGAAGCAGGAGAATCGCTCATAGCTGGGAGGTGGAGCTTGCAGTGGGCCAAGATCATGTCACTGCACTCCAGCCTGGGTGACAGAGCAAGACTCTGTCTCAAATAAATAAATAGATACAATATTTACACAAAGCGCCAGACATACTGCAGGACTTAATAAAGGTTAGCATTCCCCACTCTAACAAATTATTTTAAATGGCTCAACCATGCCAAAGGATAGCAAGTTTACTTTAAATCAGCCATCTTCTCAAAAAGCCACTTAAAATGTTAAATGTTTCTAAGAAAAATAACATTATTTTTAGTCCATTTGTCTCTATCAACAAAATATTATATCCCCTTTTGATACACATTCTTCCCTACAAATAAAGCAGACAATGTGCTCTTTTAGAACTTTCGTTTATCTTTGTAAAGAGAAAATAATACAAGGCATTCACTGTGGCACTCACAGTCTGCTTTCTCTAAGGACAAGCCTATCTATACTCAACAGTCAGAAAAGCAAATGATCTGGCTGGAAGGGTTCCCTGAAAGAACGAAAACACATTACTTAGCAATTATACTTTTTAAATGAAAAGTCTGTCTTTACGACAACAGCAAGATTTAAATATGAAGGAAAAAACCATGAAGTAGCATATCCTTCAATTTTTCAAAGAGAAAACTAATGGCTTAACACACTTAGGTCCATTTTCGGCCAACGAATACATATTAAGAAAAGACTAGGTGCAGAGCATTCTTTCCTATGCAAGAGATGGGTGGGGAGAATATAAAAACTTTAAGATAGAATCCCTGCTATTTAGACACTTAAAATTTAGTGAAGATTGAAAGAGGTGTTAGTCACTGCTGGCTAAGGTGCTCAGGAAAGGATTAACACAGGGCTGGGCCTTCTGTGATAAACAGAAAGGATTCTAGAGCTCTTATCAACAGAGGCTTAAACTAAATCTAGTTCATCCCTAGTGTACTAAAATTAATTCCAACTAGTTGCCCCTTAATTATTCAGAATTCTCTCCCCTATCAGACAGTATAATTTCTTCCTTTTCTCTAGGTAATAAATTTATACACACTATAGGTAGATTAAAATTATCTTTTAAAAAATCACATAAAGCTTTAGGAATGATCTTGAATGTGAAAATCTAAGTCTAACAAAATATAGCTTTTAAAACAACATTTACATGTAAACAATATGTGCCATGTTATCCATAGAAAGGAGTCATCATTACTGTTTGGGATGAAACATAATATAGTTGTAAACAGAGATTAAATGGTTTTACCAAGGCATTATTCAAATTGCATCCTTTATGTAAGAGGCCTCAAGGCACAATCAATAAGTTAATGATTAAAATACATAAAACTGCAGCAGATAATCATCATCATAAAATTGTGTTAAAATAATGTTTAAGTGTTGATTTGTCAGAAAGGACCTATTAATAAAGACAGATTTTTATGGTACTATTCCTAGAAGGCCCATACATGGGCTAGGGATGATTTGGGGAAATCATCTTGTCCCTAATTCCTTAGAGTAAGAATTTAGAAACTGTGGAAACATACTGCTTGATCTCACATGTGGCCAAGGCAAAGCTTTGCAAGGAATAAGGAAGCAAAAAAGGAGGACAAAAAGTAGCCTTAAGTACTATGACACCCTTGAAACTCTAAAGACCACACTGCAGTGTTTCTGCAGTTGCCATATCACTAAAGAATAGGATACCAAACCTCAAAGCAAGTAATGGAGCCTCAAGGTTTACACAGTGAGTTACAGCAAGCATAACAGGAAACAAGAAGGGCAACGAAAGTGCATGCAATGTTGGCAAAAAAGAGTCCACCTTTAAAAATAAGTCCACCTTTAAAGACAGAAAAAATTGGAAATTTCCTAGAAAAACAAAGACTTCATGATCTCTTCTTGAATTACCTTGAGATCATTCTCATTAGTGAACATTATATTCAAATATACTAATTAAAATGACTATATCCTGGATTCATGTTTTTTTAAATATAGATTTTTCAAGAGGCAATTTTAAGTATTTTTAAAACTAACGGTAGAAATAAAAGCATTATTGTGATAAAACTCATATCCAAGAGAATTAATCTATATATATATATCTTTCCTTTGTTGGTAAAGAGACATCAAATTATAATATAACCTAAAAACATCAACATAGAAAGCACACCTTATCTTCAAATTGGTTTAACAGTATTATTCTATCTAAATTACAAAGCGACTATATTTAAACAAATAAAAATCCCTTTAATCCACACATTTCCTGTGAAATGTCAAACTTTTACCATTCTGACTTTATTCTTACATATGGATTTACTGAACAATATCACTTAACCACTATTTAAGCTAGTGACAATGGTATTGTTTCATATTTACTCATTCTGACAAACATTTTGTTTTTGAGTACACTGTCTAAATCTAGTAGAATAAAATACAATTTATTTGCAATTTTTAAATATTACAGTGGAGAAAATCTGAGATGAATGTTCATCACAGTGTTGTTTTGAAAGCCTACGGAAAACAAGGGGTTTCTTCGTACAAAAAAAAGTCTAAAAACTGCCAAAGGAAGGGGCAGAAAAGATAGGTGGAGAGAAACTATGTAGAAATATTTGTTTTTTTGAGGCTTACATGAAAATTCAAAGGGTAAGGATGGCATACAGGAATGCAACTGGAGAGCTTAAAAAATGTCTCAACCAATGCAAAGGAAAAGGAAATGAGAGGTTGAAATAAAAGGCCTTGAGGTCCAAAGATGTGGAGACAAACTAAAGCATATAGTAGGTAAAAAGATTAATTGTGCCCAAGACTCACACACCTTATTGTAGACATCATTCATTTCCCTCTGGTGTATCTTTCCAGTGGGGGATTAAAATATAGGAATTCTTTTGAGATTTTAGTAGAAAATCCTTTTCCCCTCTCTAAGAACTTGACTAAATCACAAGATCCTTGAGCCTAGGCATGATTAAGACAGTGTTGCTTTACTCAATCCTAGTAGGTAGGCTACAGGGATCAAAGACTTGAGAGCAAGGAAATCTGCCTTATCAGTCCTAGAGTCACAGACAGAGCCTGGTACCTTGTTTTAAATGACAGCCCCTCCAAAATGAAGGGTCTGAAACCACCTTCCTCACTGAGAACAGAGACTCAGTGAGCTTAGTGTAGGCCTCATGTAAGCCCAGGCCACCAAGCCAGTGCTTCTCACCTGACTTAAGCTACATTTGCCCAAGCCTCAACAATGGGAGTTGGCCTCAGCTTGTGCTGGTGCTCCACTGCCTCCTGCTGGTCTTCCCCGAACCCACTGACTTTTTAGCTAAATCTGGCTGCATTACAGCTCAAACCTCCACAGACTGAAATCATATCGAAAGGTTTTAAGATCCAGTGTCTGTTAATTCTGAGTACACTTGGACAGTTCTCTTTGCCTCGAGTTTCTTCATTGTAAAATGGTGAACACTCAGACCTGCTATTCATATCCCACTAAGATATGAAAAGAAAAATGCCAAGCCTAGAGTTCTTACATAAAACTTACGTTGTGGCAAAACATCATGTTTTTGTTTAAGCCTTCCATGACCACCCTATTTAAAACCACATCCAGGCACTAAACAGCATTCCTTATCTTCTTCATGAAAAAATTTTTTCATAGCAGTAATCACCAAGTAATATATCAATAATTCACTTACTTGTTTACTGTCTCTCCTCAACCAGAATGTAAGCTCCAGAGTTTTAATTTTTTTTTCTATATTGTTCACTGCTGCTATACCTCTAGTAGCTAGAAGACTGCCTGGGACATAGTAGACACTCAATGTTTGTTGAATGGATGAACAAAATACACTCTTTAAACAGTCCCCTAGGAAAAGGCAGGTTATGTCCGAGATAGTACAAAAGAAAATGACAAGCTTATTCTGGGATCAAAGTCGAAAAGCAATCTACTTCTTAGGGTGCCTAATCAGTATCATCCTTACTATTCAAATTTTTTAAATGTGAGTTTTTGTGTCTCTTTCTCTGAACTTATTCTCAATTAAAAGGCTGACTTCACTTAACAGGTGACATTCTTATCAATACAGAACAGTAACCGTCTAGATTTCCCCTTGAGTAAACATCCCTCTAGCCCTTTCCTGATTAGGATTCCTGCTTTTCTGACTGAGCTGCATAGAACAACAACAATCGCACTATTAAAGCACAACCATTCTCTGGGTCCCCACAACAGTTTAAACTTATATACTCTCTTACTATAAAGAGTAATGCGCACAGGCAGGAGCAAAATAACTGTTTGGTTATTTTTTAAATAAAATAAAATCCTACTTTACATAGAAGTAAACAAACTGGAAAGATGGTTCAAAGTAATTTTTTTAAGTAAAAACAAAATAATAAATTCAACAAAGATTTACAGGCAAAAGATGGGTGACAAACACACAACAGGTTGTTAAAGAAAGCCAAGAGTATACTTTCCCCACACTTCAAGCCCCTGAGATTCCTAATATTAATAAATCTTCCAAAGAAAAATCCTTCAGTATCAGAAGTCTGACCCATTTTGGAGCTTATACGTACCCAATTTGTCCAGAGACATGGCCAATTAAAACATACTCTTGATATCTTAAACTGGCATCTTTTTAAGAAGATACATATTTTATTGTCATTTTCCCCTAAAAGTACCACATATATTAGCAACAAAAATTTGACCCACCTTTTAAAATGTTGAATAAAATGTCATTTTATTTTTTTAATCTCATTTTAATATATCAGCATAATCCATAAGGTATCACTGGCAAAATGACATTTATAAATGAATGACAGAGTTGAAGTCTTCTATTTTTTATCTTATTTCCATAATTTAAGAATTAAAAAGTATTTGGAGTACAACATCAAGGGCAATTAAATTTACTAAAGCTAATTTTTGCCAGAATAGTGTTAGGAGAAGGATAATAACACCTGTTTTATTCTAATGATAGACTTAACCCAATACATAATTTAATTTGAATTTTGACTAGCTAGCCTCCTGACAATTCATGAAAGCAAGCCCAACCTGTTCAAGTCAATGTTTAAATATTAATTCTTATACTGTATAATCTAGAATTGGTATTCCACATGCTATGGAAAGCATCAAGAGAAGAATTAAACCCTTAACATACACATATCTTTATTATACACCAAACTATTTATAAGAGAGAATATAACAAATTTCACTGCAATAAAGCTTCAAAAATATGTTTTAGATGACTTGGTAGCTGTTAAGGGTACCTTTAAAATTGCTGCCCAAAAATAATAAGAAAGATTAGACTATTTTTGCAAGAAACTTTCTTTTGAGGGTGGTTTAGGGGGGACATGGAGTTTCGCTCTTGTTGCCCAGGCTGGAGTGCAACGGCGAGATCTCAGCTCACCACAACCTCCGCCTCCTGGGTTCAAGCAATTCTCCTGCCTCAGCCTCCCGAGTAGCTGGGATTACAGGTATGTACCACCATACCTAGCTAATTTTGTCTTTTTAGTAGAGACAGGGTTTCTCCATGTTGGTCAGGCTGGTCTCAAACTCCCGACCTCAGGTCATCTGCCCGCCTCGGCCTCCCAAAGTGCTGGGATTACAGGCGTGAGCCATAAGAAACTATTTTTTTCATTACATTCAAATTACTTTCCTAGGATCTCACTAACATGAACATTCAAACAAAACTAGCTTTTCTTTGAAAGAAAAACCAAGACATAGGCAATTAGAAAACTAATATTTGTGTCTAGAAGTTAACAGGTTTACAAATATATTGAGAAAATGTGAATGATATAGAATAACCCCTTTATCAACATTTTAAAATTATTCAATATTTCTTTAGTACATTATAGATTACATAGTATTTCACATATATACTTAATTCTTTGCAATATTTTAGCAGACATTACTATTGTCCTCAAGAACTGAAAAATCTCTATTGTTAATTGTGTTCTCTAAAGTTTACATAGTTATCATTATCAGTGTCAACCTAAACACTAAGTCTAGTCTTCCTTCTGCGAGTACTGGGGGAAGTTCAGGGTTTGGAATAAAATAGACCTGGGTCTAACCCAGGTTTGATCATGTACCACCTTTGCTGCCTGAGGAAAACACATTAAACTCTCCATCAAACGAAGATAATATTTACCTCATGGTGGTGGTGTGAGATTAAATTAAACAGAAAACATAGGAAGAATTTAAAGCAGCATGCCTGCTTTGCTAACCCCTAAACCTGAATAAAAAATTATGCCATCTCTGCTTTTGCTCTAAGGCCATAAGACACTGCTAGAGAAAGCAACATAATAGTGCTGGCTTAGCCAGTTACAAATTTATAGCCTAGTACTGTTTTTTCATTAGTAAACTCAACATAAATAATACTTATCTCCTAAGATTGTTTTAAGGATTCCATAAAATTGTGTATGTAGAATATTAGTTATAGTGCCTAGCATATGCTAGGAACTCAAACTGTAACCATTCTGTAGCTTAGCAATCTTTTTTTTTTAATTAGTTAATGACTTAGCACACTTATGGAAGGTATTATTCTAGACTCTTCAACTTTCTTTAAGCCCTAAATACACCAAATCCTTCTGGTAAGCGATTCCCCTGCCTACTTTATTGGAAAGATGAGCAGTGGATGTGAGCTCCCACAGCTCTTCTTTCTACTTTTAAACACTCCTTTACCAATTCATAATTTTTCATATATCCATCAGGTGTGAGATAAACTAAACTCCCAATGCAATTCTTTCAGTTATTCAACAAATTTTACTGAGCATATACAGTCTGTCAGTACCATCTCAAGTGCTGGGTATATCACGGTAAGAAAGAAACAAATTCTACACTCAGGGAACATCACATAGGAAACAGAGGTTCATATTATAATAATCACATAATAAATAAATGTTTAAAATTCTCTTTCCATCTCCTCAGGCCTTGTTTCCTCAAGTATTCTCAGCACATCCTCCATTTCCATGAGTTTTACTGCTCCTGCCCACCCCAACTTGAAAACCTTGCTTGGCACAGTCACCCTCTATACCTAGTATGCTCTATTTCTTTTCTTCCTGACTTCTTAAACTTTAGAAACACACATTCTATTCCCATCGCCTCCATTTTCTTGTATGCTAAGACCAGGAAATCTGGTTCCTGCTCTAACTTTTGGCACTCCTGCTCTAACTTTGGCACTCCTCAGAGAGTCCCCACAAGTAAGGAGGCTCTCAACAGATGCAGCCCCATGACCTGGGACTTCTCAGTCATAACTAGAAGAAATAAATTTCTCTTCTTTATAAATTACCCACTTTCAGATATTCTGTGATAAGCACTAGAAAATGGACTATGACAGGGTAGTAGTTAAAACAGTGGTTCTGAATCTTTAGTGTGCATCAATTTCATCTGGATGATTTGTTAAACCACAGATTGTGGGCCCTGACCCCAGAACTTGATTCTGAGACTCCACATTTCTAACAAATTCCCAAATGATGCTGATGCTGAGATCTACTGGTCCCTGAAATAAAAAATCCTAACAATAAATGTTTCATATACTTACATCCCACCAGCCAAATATTTAATCCTTCAGTAGTCAATTTTTAACAACACAAGTTGGTTCTAAGTCTTGACGCAAGCTAGATTCTGGAAGAAAAGATAAGCTTTTTAAACAGTGCTAAATGTTCCTTGACCCAATTATAACAACATATAATAGACCTTAAGCATGCTGTCATCAAGGACAGAAACCACAGCTACAGAAAATGTGCATTATCAATGTTGTACCTAATATCCAATAAAACCAGCTTAAAGCAATTCAGAATAACAACACTATGAGCAATATCTGACAGGACACATGCTTTGAATTTATTAGAAGAATTATCCAGTTCAATGTAATACTTAACAAAGCTAGTCGCCGAAGTGATTTAATATCCAAGTGCCAAGTAAAAGAATATTTTCATGGTATTCATACTTTAAATAGAGGTTTGTGCATGCTCTGACGTATAAGTGGGAGCTAAACATTGAGCACCCACAGACATAGAGATAGGACCAATAGACACGGAGGACTATTAGAGGCAGAAGGGAGGATGGACTGAAAAACTACCTATTGGGTACTATGCTCACTACCTGGGAGATGACGTCACAGCACAAAATATACTCAGGTAACAAACCTGCACATGTACCCCCATATCTAAAATAAAAGTTGAAATTTTTAAAATAAAATAAAAAATAAATAAATAAAGGTTTGATTTTATATCTCTTGCACCCAGGGTGATGCTTTTTTCAGGTAGACAGGCTTGTAAATTATAATTACAACTAAGAAAAACATGAAAAACTTTACTGTGACTAATTAAATTTTATCTGTATAAAGCATAGGTGCATTTATTTCAGAAATACAGGAAATTATTTAAGGAATAAGACGTTCAAAACTTTAAATACTTCTTGTGAATCATTCACAAATCCAAAAAATCTGATTCAGCAACCTAAGTGCAATTTTCAAATTTCTCCATCCTTCACTGACAAGGGTTAACTCAAAGAGCTTTATTTTAACATTTTACATATATCAATATTCATATTCAACAATTTAAGAATAAAAACCCTACATTATGAAACCAATGTTTTTTTGGAGTAAGGTATACTGTGAAAAGCAATTGGTTTGCTATAAGATCATACAACAATGGAATGTTCTCTTAGAAATGGTTGATGTTTTAATACTAAAATCTCTATCCTCAAGTATAATATGCATCTAAATAAAACAGTATTCAAATATACTGAGAAGGTAAATTACAAAAAGTCTGGAAATGGAGAATTTTACATCACAACAGTCAAAACCACAACAATCCCAAAAACAGGTAATAAAAAGCCTAAGTGAATGAGTAATAAATGGAAGAATTATTACTGTAAAATTATTTTATTAAAATAATTATAAAAATAAAGAAAATAATGGAAGAGTTAACGATGTTTTGTGTCCTTTCCCCTCATTCCTTGTTCACTGTGTATTCTTGCTCTCAGTTCTTTCTCAACTAATCCATGTCATTCACTTTCTCCAATTCTTAATTCAAGATTGGTCTCTAACACGATCCACTCTAATAACTTTCTTACTCCACATCACCTTAATAATACTTTCCTTTTTACCAACGTGTTTTGGAACTGTTTTCCAAATCCTTCATTCTCAATTAAACTATAACCAAGTAGATTAAAATTTTTAAATTTGCTCTAAAGCAAAATAGTTTCTTAAAAATCAATGTTGGCCTATATAATCAGAAATCCGAAGTTAGGCGAAATTAATTTGAACCAAGTGGAAACTTTACTCATACTATTTTCCGCTTTTCAGTAAACCTGCATAGCATCCAACATTCATTATATTATTTTAGTAAATATTCAAAGTTGTGAAACTACACATATTTGACTAAATTCCAGTTACCAGTTGACCCTATCCTGGCTGACAGGATCCTGGTTGGCACCTACCTACCCAACAAGACCAGTTCCTACTGGCCTACTAATTCAATCTATCTTTAGTAATTAGGCTAAAAAATCTATGTCTCCAGACTCCCCTCTTGCCACAATTACACTGGTACAGTTCAGGTTCCTACCACCTACAGGATGGACTGCACTTTAAGGTCCTTTAAAATGTTGTCCCTTTAACATGAAATTCCCTTCTTTCTCTGTCTGTACATTTGTATTTATCTGGTTTTTCCAAATAAATCTCTTGGAAGACTCTCATAAATAAGGTCTTGGAGGGGCCAGGCATGGTGGCTCACGCATGTAATCCCAGCATTTTAGGAGGCTGAGGTGGGCAGATCACCTGAGGTCGGGAGTTCAAGACCAGCCTGATCAACATGAAGAAACCCCACCTCTACTAAAAATACAAAAAAAATTAGCCGGGCCTGGTGGCACATGCCTGTAATCCCAGCTACTTGGGAGGCTGAGGCAGGAGAATAGCTTGAACCCAGGAGGTGGAGGTTGTGGTGAGCTGAGATCACGCCACTGCACTCCAGCCTGGGCAACAAGAGTGAAACTCCATCTCAAAAATAATTACAATAAATAAAATAAGGTCTTGGAAAGTCTTCATAAATAAGGGCTGTTTCTTTTATTTCAGTATGTTCAGAATGGTACATGTTCATGATAAACACGCAATAAAAATCGGCTGAATGATCTATGCCAAGTAGATGGAATATGTACATATGTATGTATCTATGTATATACATATACACACAAATATATTTCTCTGTACTTTTTATAAGAATCGTAATATGATACTATGTTAAATATTTGTATATTTGTATATTCTACCAATCCATATTTTGATTTAGAAAAATACATGGACGACAACAAATTTGATTCTGGGAATCTATATTTCTAACAAATTCCCAAATGATGCTGATGCTGAGATCTACTGCTCTTAGAAATAAAAAAGCAACTAAAATGACTTAAATTCTATAACTTGTTAGAAACAGCTCTATCTAAAAAGAACCAAAACAGATAAAGATTATTTTTTCTCATATCGAAAGCCAAACTTTAAAGATTTGGTAGAATTTACCTTGTATTCAGCAAAATATAAATAAATAATATCTATGAACATGTATGAAAATTTATTTCTATGTAAATAATATGGAAATTTCCATGTATTAGTTTATTCAATAAACATTTATTGAGTGCCTGCTACGAGTCAGGCACTGTTCTAGGTGCCTGAACATGCAGCAGTCAACAAGAAAGACAAGATACCTGCTTTTATATAGTTTACATTCTAATTGTAGGATACAGATAATAAATGAATAAATAAGCAATAAATATAAGGTAGTCATAAGCACCCAAAATTAAAAGAACATAATCTGGTAGCAAATAACCAATATCATTTATTGGAATATATATGCTAGCCGGAAAATAGTTTCAAAAGGCAAGAAAAATAATCCAAACTAGTAACTCTGAATAAGCATTTTATAGACAGATGGCTGATTTTTACATATATAGGACTGACTTAATACATCTGACAGAGCAGGAGCATTGCCATCTTGGACGAGCACTGTCATTTTAAAATTTACGTTGATCAAAAACTGCCTAAATCCAAAGGGCATCAGCTTAATGGCTAAAGTCAGCATGACCATAAACCACAAATAACATCTGTGACCAGAAACACGCCAAACCCCTCCCTGACCAGAGACATGCCAGTCCCGAGATATCCTCCCCTCCAGCTGGAGAGATGTCAGCCCCAACATACTCTCCTCTCCAACCAGAGACATTCCAACCCTGCCATAAACTTCTCCCCCACACAGAAACATTCCAAGCTCTCTCACCAATAAATACTCTCAGTCTGTAAGAGACAGCATTACTGACCAAACTCGGCCAGAAGCCCCACTCAGGTTTATTCTCCAAAATAAACCTGTCTTTGACTGTTGAGCTGCTTTTCGTGTTTCTTTCCTCCTTCTTTAACTCTTACAACATCAAATTCCTAATAAAAAAATAACAGTGAGCATCAGAACTTTAAGCTGCTTCCACAATCCATTATTACTACTCAAAAATGTTTATAACAGAAATTATGTGCATTATAACACAAAAACTGCTTAACCTTAATAAAAGGTATCTAGAGACACAATACTTTAATATTTATACTTTGGATGACAGTTACAAACAACACTAATACAGGTGTAAATTATTTCAGAATACAGACAACACATTCCCCTCCAACATTAAGTATAACATTAGTTTTAAAAGCAAAGTGTTAAAAAAAAAATGCCTGCAACAAGCACAAGTAAGTAAAGATGGGAGGAAGAGACAGATACCGATCAGGCAGTCAATTCAAGAACAGAGCTGCGCTAGAAGTTAGGGTAAAGAAATATTTGGTTCCAGGCAGTATATCTAGGAAAGGTAGTTGTAGCTGCAGAGTTAGAGCTCAAAAGTGCTGGAGATATTATACCAGTCTCTGCTAACTCAAAAGTACTGGCTAAGTACCCAAAATATTTGCTCAGACTCACATAGCAATGTATCTCAAATAAGTCACCATGAGGACACAAATATTAAGAGAAAGAAATCAGACATTATGATCATTTGGGAAACAATAGTACAGAAAAATTCCAGTTGAAATTGACTGTTACCACATCATTTTTCTTACACTGTTAGGACATAAGCTGTCCAAACAGAAGCTGTTATTTCAAATCATTCGAGCTGGGTTCAACACCCAAGTCCTTTCATTAGCACTATAAAAAATGTTTAACATCTTCTATAATCATCCTAAAAAATATCCTATAAGCAGTATTTTAAGCCAACAATTTTTATACCTCTTAAGAATATTTTTAATTGTATGTATCACTTAACAAATAGATACAATGGTTCAATTAGAGAATATTGTAATTTAGTATGCCTTAGTTTATTACATGTCATTGAAAAAACATTTAAATGATATAGTTGAGAAAAACATGAACATTTACAATATGGACTATGTAACAACAGAACACTAAATAGTCATAGAAAGTCAGAAATGTGTCTTATAATCCTTTAGTCAAAATAACATTTGCTGTAATTAATAAGCTAATAAAAATATAGACTATGTTATCTAGAAAACTAAAAAATTATTTATTTTCTTTTATAAGAATTTTTGAAAAAAGTTTGCATTGCAAAATAAAAATTCCATAATAAAAAAATTTAAACATACAAGTTAAAAAAAAGACTACTGATGATATTGCTCCACAGGCTATTCCAGATGTACATAAAAGAAGTCAGGTCAATGAACAAGTGTCCAAGCCAAAGACTTAGTACTCAGGGTAAGTGTCCACATAGGCTGGTGCAGCTGGTTTTCCCTCTCTACTTTCCTTTTTCTTCCCACAGCACAAACCAAGCTAAAATGCTAGCTCAACTTCTCTCTTTTCACTTCAAAACAACACAACTCGCCAGCCGGGCATGGTGGCAGTAGCTCACGCTTGTAATCCCAGCACTTTGGCAAGCCAAGGCGGGTGGATCACCTGAGGTCAGGAGTTCGAGACTAGCCTGAGCAACATGGCGAAACCCCGTCTCTACTAGAAATACAAAATTAGCTGAGCATGGTGATGCTTGCCTGTAATCCCAGCTACTTGGGAGGCTGAGGCAGGAGAATTGCTTGAACCCTGGGAGGCAGAGGTTGCAGTGAGCTAAGACTGCACCACTGCACTCCAGCCTGGGTGACAGAGCGAGACTCTGTCTCAAAAAAAAAAAAAAAAAAAACAACAACAACCCAGCTCTTGACTGGGCCATGAGATGCCCAGACATTTGGTCAAACATTACAGTGGGTGTGTCTGAGGGGGTGTTTCTGGATATGATTAACATTTGAATTGGTAGTTAAAGTAAAGCAGATTGCCCTACCTAATGTGAATAATTCTCAACCAGTCAGTTGAAAGCCTAAACAGAACAAAAAGCCTGACCTCCTGTGAGTAAGAGGGAATTTCCTTCTGTCTGACTTCCTTAAACTGGGACCTCATTTTTTAAACTGAAACATTGACTCTTCCTGGGTCTCGAAGCTGTTGGCATTTGAGCTGGAACTAAAGCTGACCCTTGAACAATGCAGAGATTATAGGCAACAACCTCCACCCCTCACCCCATACAGTTAAAAATCCATGTATAACTTTTTATTCCCCAAATACTTAACAACTAAAACCCTACTGTTGACCATAAGCCTTACCGAAAACATAAACAGCTGATTAACACATATTTTGAATATTACATATATTCACTGTATTATATATATTCACTGTAACCTCACAATAAAGTAAATTGGAGAAAAAAAAATTAACAAAGTCATAATAGGCCAGGCACAGTGGCTCACACCTATAATCCCAGCACTTTGGGAGGCTGAGGCAGGCAGCCCACCTGAGGTCAGGAGTTCAAGACCAGCCTAGCCAAAATGGTGAAACCCCGTCTCAACTAAAAATACAAAAAGAGAAAGAAAGTCATAAGAAAATACATTTACAGTACTGTACTACATTGATCGATACCGTAAGTTTACATTATCTATTTACAAGATGAACCATCTGTCTGACATGGCAGTCAACCTTAGCTGGAGACTTCAATCTATATTACATATCAAGCAATTCAACTTTTTCTTGTAATATCATTACTTTTCTCTGGTTTGGGGAAGCATTTCCAGCATTGCTAGTGACACTTCCTATGAGCCCGATGGTGTTATTCAAGGTTTATGATATTGCACTGAACACGATGAAAAATACCCGAGAACTGTGAGAGATCACTTTACTGTAATATACAATTTACTGTGCAAACTGCTT
The DNA here is from genome assembly GCF_000001405.40 of Homo sapiens. NCBI lineage: Eukaryota > Metazoa > Chordata > Mammalia > Primates > Hominidae > Homo > Homo sapiens. The sequence goes on along the minus strand of NC_000006.12, from coordinate 60,433,780 downwards.
ACGCTGAGATGATTAGCATCACAGAGCGTTTTAAGCAGATACTTGCAACACTTATAGGCTCACCACAATAGCAACAGGGTGGGGCTATTAAATTACTATAGTAGCACAGAATGTGCTACAGTTAATTTTATGTAGGTTATAATACTGCATCTTTACATTTGTTTACATTTCTCTCTACTGGGAATAGCACCATGTATGGTCTGTACATTTGTGTGCATGTGTTTTGATAAATTTTAACTTTTTGCAATAGATTTCTGTATATCTCATGTTAGTAAATAAGACTAGTATATATTTTATACATTCATATATACTTAATTTTTTCTTCCTTTTTTTGATATTTCTAGGCTATGTGGTTCATCTGCAAATTTTTTCAAATTGTTGCATATCCCCAGAAAATTTTCCAATATACTTATTGAAAAAAATCCACATGTAAGTGGACCCATGCAGTTCACACCTGTGTATTTCAAGCATCAACTTGTACACTATCATTCTTCTGGTTTTCAGGCTTTTGGATTCAGACTAGAACTACAACATTGGCTCTCCCGGGTCTTCAACTTGCCAACTGCGGATCTTGAGACTTGTCAACTTCCATAACCTCCAACTCTCTCTCTCTCTCTCGCTCTGTGTGTGTGTGTGAGAGAGTGTGTGTATGTCCGTGTGCATGTGTGTGTAAGTGACAGAAAGACAGACACACACACAGTTCCATTTCTGTGGAGAACCCTAATACATCTACCTACTTAAGACATCGAATTCCTAATAAAAAGATCAAAAACTGTTTTAAATTAATAATACATAATGATGTCAATGGCAGAGCAAAATTCTCACATCGCTTGAAGAGGGTCTAATTTAAAACCTTTCTGAACAGTCATTTCACAGCATGCATTAAAACTTTAAAATTGTGTGTAGTTTCCTTTTTTTTTTTTTCTTGAGATGGAGTCTCGCTCTGTCACTCAGGCTGGAGTGCAGTGGTGCGATCTCAGCTCACTGCAACCTCCACCTCCCAGGTTCAAGTGATTCTCCTGACTCAGCCACCCCAGTAGCTGGGATTACAGGCACCTGCCACCACGCCCAGTTAATTTTTGTAGTTTTAGTAGAGATGGTATTTCACCATGTTGGCCAGGCTGGTCTTGAACTCCTGACCTCAGGCGACCCACCTGCCTCGGTCTCCCAAAGTGCTAGGATTATAGGCATGAGCCAACCTTCCCAGCTGTGTGTAGTTTCTTATAATTTTATTTCCTGGTGAATGCATACACACACACACACACACACACACACACACAGAATATAATCAAAACTATAATCAATTATCTATGTCCACAGGATATTAGCTATTTGACTCTGTTATTTAAATTAGTAACATATATAACAGAGTCAAATTACACACAACCAAATGTCCAACAATAGGAGAATGATTAAACAAATTACATCACTTTCAAAGGATATATTATGTAACTCATTAAGATATTTTCAAAGATTGGTCAAAAATATGGAAAAATAATCATAATATAATGACAATTTTTAGAATGGTGAAAATCAGCGGTGTTTAGTTCTGTAGACTAGAGTAAAAGGCTACAATGTTGACAGTAATTATTTCAAATTGGAGGGTAACAGGTGAATTTTTCTGTATTTTTCATATTTTCTATAATTAGAATAAATTACCTTTAAAAGAAATATAAAAAACATTATCCAAAACTGCTCAAAGAAAATCCTATTAAATGACTTCATTAAGATTCTATGGATAATTGTCGATGAAGACAGTTTTTAAAACAAATCTGAAAAAACTGTAACAGCTTTTTATAATGTTATTTTTAAAAATCTAAGCTTTTTAATAAAGTATATAGCTACAGATACGAGCTGAATTGTGATCTCCTAAAAGTCATTTGTTGAACCCCTAACTCCAAATCCAACTGTAATTGGAGATAGGACCTCTAAAGGGATAATTAAGGTTAAATGAGGTCAGATGAGTGTGGGGCCCTAATCCTGTAAGACTAGTGTATTTATAAGAAAAGGAAGAAACACCAGGGATGCACATGCACAGAGAAAAGACCATGTGAGCACAAAGCAAGAAGAAGGCCACCTGTAAGCCGAGGAGACAGGCCTCAGGAGAAACCAAATCTGCCAATACTTGGATCTTGGACTTCCAGCCTCCAGAAGTGTGAGGAAATAAACTTCTCTTTTTTAAGCCAACCAGTCTGTGGCATTTTATTTTGGCAATGCTTGCAAACTAACATAAAACATAATAAAGTACTATAAAATGTACCTGGTAAATATTCTTTCTTCTATAATTTACTTTTAGGAGGCAGCAAATCAAGAAATAAACAGTAAAAAATGTTCTTCATACCACAGTGTCATGGCATAGAAGGGGCAAGAAATCATATTTCCAAGTAAAATGTTATTAGCTGGCACTATTAAAGAGAAATAAGGCATAGGATTGGGAATATAAGCACTGCAGATAGAGTTTTTAAAAAATTGTTCAGGTTTATAGTAATTATTGTCCATCTAAAAATGTTCTATAGGCTAGGTATGATGACTCAGGCTCACAGCTGTAATCACAACCCTTCAGCATGCCAAGGCAGGAGAACGGCTTGAGCCCAAGAGTTTGAGACCAACCTGGGCAACATAGTGAGACTCCATCTCTACAAAAAATTAAAAAAAGAAAAAAATTAGCCAGGCATAATGGTGTCCACCTGTGGCCCTAGCTACTGGGAAGGATGAAGTGGGAGGATCACTTGAGCCCAAAGGTCGAGGCTGCAGTGAGCCATGATTGCACCATTGCACTCCAGCCCAGCCTGGGCAACCCTGTCTCGAAAAAAAAAACCAAAAGTTTCTAAAAGATTCTGCATAACATAATAGAAAATATTTTAAATTGTTTCATTTTATTTGTTCATGATATCTCCCAGTGCTCAAAACATTATGTGCATATGTATAGACACACATATATTCCTACAGATATATAACTCTGAAAGCAATTTCAGTCTTATAATTACTACTGGCAGTATACCTACAAAGGAAAACATTCCTTTCCCAATCTTTTGTATTAGATTAATATGCAAGTTTCTTTTTATCTAAACTGAATTGTCAACACATTTATCCTTTTAGAATTTTCAACTACATTGCAGGGAGCATATTTTAAAAAAAAATAGACCGTTTCATTTTCAGACCAAATTAAAATATCAGGTACCACTCTGATTTTTTTTTTCAAAATTACCTTGTCTGGATCCATCTTTCCTTTGATAAATTCTTGCTTCCAGAACTGCAATGTCTGTTCCAAAGTTAAACCAATGCCCTTCAGAAATAGGACATACTGCATTCGGCCTCCATGACAAAGATGGTGATTTTCCCGCAAGGCTTTATGTAACTGATGCATGTAAAGTGGGAAGGATTTGGTAGAAAGCTACAAGAAAAAACAGTAGAGTTTTAAGTTAAGTGGAAGACTTATCAGGTACCCTGTAATATTTGTTATGGTTGCTAATTCAATTTAATTGGAATAAAAAAACAAACACCATAAGAAAGTGCTGCTTTATTACTGTGGTTACAGATGACGCTTATCTGTATAAGATGTTTCTTATTAACATTTTTTATTGGTTACAAGTTAATATAATATTTTAGATACTTTGGATTAAATAACATACTATTAAAATTTATTTTACCTGTTTTTTAATTTAATTAAACTTTTTCTTTGAAGTTAACTATAGACTCCCATACAGTTACAAGAAATAATACAAAGAGATAGCATATATCCAAATTCCCCCAAAGATAAAATCATGTACAACTACAGTAGATTATCACAAACAGGATACTGACATTGATACAATCCACTAGTCTTATTCAGGTTTCCTCAGTTGTACTCATGCACTTACTTCCGTATTAAATTTTATACAATTTTGTCACATGTAGGTTCATACATCCACCACCACAGTCAAGATGCAGAACAGTTCTGTCACCACAAGGATCTCTCATGATTTTATAACCACCCCCATCTAACTTTTGCACCCTGCTCCCCTCCCTCAGCTCCCTAATCTTTGGCAACCACTGATCTGGTTCTCCATCTCTATAATTTTGTCATTTCAAGAGTATAATAGAATCATATAATATGTATTGTTTTGAGATTGTCATTTTTTACTCAGCAGAATTCCCTCAAGATTCATCTAAGTTGTATATAAGCTCATTTCTTTATTACTAACTAGTTTTCCATGGTATGAATGTATCATAATTTATTTATTCACTCATTGAAGAACACTTGGGTTGTTTCCAGTTTGGGCTATTTCAAATGAAGCTATTATGAGCATTCTTGAAGAGGTTTTTATGTGAACATAAGATTTCATTTCCCTGAGATAAAAGTACAATTGCTGAATAGCAGATGAACTTTTAAGATAACTCAAATACAAAGCAGAACACAAAAATAAGAGAAACTTCTCATAAGGAAAATTCAAATAAATATGTTAAAGAAACCAAGTTAAAAGGAACAAAGTATAGTTAGTGCCTTAGTGCTAAAAATGAAATATCATTTCTTACTTTAATTTTTCACTTATGGTTTCAATTGCATTCTCTATGACTTCCTTAAATATTCTCCCAAGACTTAAATTCTTACTCCCTCACATATGCCTTAGCAAGTTCACTTCATCTATAAGAAAGAGCAGGTCTCACTTTGCTTGACTTTGCTGTTCCCTCTAGTGACCATCTAGTTTCTCTTCATTCTTTTACAGTAACAACTTCTGAATTTTTCCATCCCCAGTCTAGTTCATTCAGACCTATATCCTCCCTTGGTAGAACTAACTAGAAAGCCTTTCAGCTCATTTTCATGAGACCATTTTTGTTGCTTCATATTAATATCTGATTTTTTTCTAAACATTGTTCTAATCCATACAATCAATATTCAACATCCTTAGTATGAACATGCAAGGTTTCCTCAATATCTGGTAACTACTTTTCTTTTTTTTCTTCTTTTTTTAATTTTTTTGAGACGGAATCTCACTCTGTTGCCCAGGCTGGAGTGCAGCAGTGCCATCTCGGCTCACTATAACCTCTGCCTCCCAGGTTCATGCGATTCTCCTTCTTCAGCCTCCTGAGTAGCAGGGATTACAGGTGCCTGCCAACATGCCCAGCTGATTTTGGTATTTGTAGTAGAGACAGGGTTTCACCATGTTGGCCAGGCTGGTCTCGAACTCCTGACCTCAGGTGATCCTCCCACCTTGGCCTCTCAAAGTGCTAGGATTACAGATGGCATGACCCACTGCGCCTGGCCAATAACTACTTTTCAATTATACATAACAGAACAATTATTTATTAAGTGTTCTGGAAAATAAGCTAGGACCTAATTGTCCCCTTTAATTCAGTTAAGGAAAAAGACACCACAATTACTATATTCACTACTATGTAAGTTAAACACATGAAATAAATGATAAAATGAGGGCTCCAACAAGGGCAAAACTTGAGCACCACAGAAGCACTGTGACAGGGAGCCCGGGAAAGTCCAGTATATTATTACTACACCAAAATGAGTCCTCGGCTCCAGTCCACTGGATTATTCACTATCCGATGACCACGCAGTCATGCTCTGTAGCTTCTCATTTTTCTCACTCTGCTAGCCCTGCCTGGTGCACCCTTCTCATGCACATGCCATGTAGCCAAAGCCAAATCATCATTCAAGACCCAACTCAATTTCTATTTCTTTTGGCACATTCCTTGATTACTTCTTATTCATTCAATCAACAAGTATCTATTTAACACTGACTATGTGTACAGCCCTGGGGAACCAGTAGTGAACAAAGAAGTCAAAAACCCTGTCCTCGAAGAGCTTATTTTTAATAGGAGGAGACGGACAATGAATACAGACATTAAAAAGATAACATCTGATGCCAAAACACTGGAAATGAAATAAGAGAAATGAAATCAAGTGTGATTAGGGGAGAGGTACTTCCATTTGGGTGGCCAGGGAAGCCTTTTTGAGGAGATGGCATTTCAAGTAAGACAAAGTAAGTTGGATTCTAGTGAAATGAGGATCCTGAGAAGGAATAAATGTGGTGTGCTAAAAGAGAGAATAAGATCCATGTGACCAGAGCAAGTGAGTGAGCTGGAATGGAGCAGAAGATAAAATAGAAATGATGAGCACATATGGCTTCAGAGGCCACAACATGAGTTTGGATTTAAGTCTACATATGATGAAAACCCACTAGAGGGTTCTGACCAGAAGACTGATGTGATTCAATAAACAAAGAGAACTCTGGCTGTTACGTAGTGAAAAGACAATATGAGAGTAAGAATGGAAGCAGGAGGGATACTTAAGAGGTGTGGGCAGTAGTCCAAATAATAAAAATTAAAAAGATAGTGTCTGGCTATATACAGATAGAAAAATGATCATGGAAAACAAGCAAACAAAAGAATCATAAGTCCAGGATAGGGGATAAATTATCAACTTGGATCTTGCAGAGGCCAAGAACAATAACAAGAATAGCGCCAGTACACAAAACCATTAGCTAGGTGTTCAAATCATCAACGAATACAGGTGTGGGGGGAGGGGGTGGAATAGCAACAAAGGAGGTATCAGATGATATAATAAGATCACGAGGGCTTTAAAGGAGCTGGAGCTGTAACAATGGAAGGCAGAGAAATGTGGAACAAGAAAGACACTCACCGCATACCTATATACGAACTCGGGGGGAAAGTTGTCTCTACTTGAAGAGGCCCACAGGGGAAACAGCATTGAGAAAGCCAGATTTGTTAGAAGAAAAAACTAAAGAAAACATTTGGAGAAGAGTTGCAAATACCAAGGGATATGCAAATGACATGCTGTTGTGAAGATCAAACAATATAGATACAGAGTTAGGAGGCAGTCCAAAAAAAGATACATCTCTATTACTCACCACGGGGTCTCAGGCACAGACCCATGACAAGATCATCATCATAGCACTTAACATTATATTGCTCATTTATTATTTATTATGTTGTCCCTCTCCCTCATGTAAGGTCCATGAAGGCAGGGACATTTTCTGTTTTCCTCACTTCTGTATCCACAGCACAATGGCTGCTACATAACTGATGGGCTCAATACATATCCATTAAATGAATTAATATTTCTATGAACTCCAACAGTATCCAACCAAATTCACATTTGCTTGTGAATGGGGAAACATCTAGCTAGAACTAAGAACAGAATTAACCTCCAACCATTCACATTATATAAGCACAAATCACATGAGTGGAAGTGAGAAAGGGGACTGTTAGAGATAAGTGTTTAATAAAAAAATTAAAAGATGGGACATCTTTGAGAACAAATTTCAAATCAACAAATCAACTGTGTAAAGTAGGCAACCCTATTGTTATTTCTAGACATATTAACTGCAAGTACTTTTTTATAATTTTTCAAATGGAAGATGACCTATTCATTCTGATCCAAACTCACGGTCTTTCTCTACTAGTCTTATTACAGTTCTTGTTTCCAAGCATTAAAATCCCTGTGTATTTTTAATTTCTTGTGAATAATTTGGTAATCGTCTAACCCAAGATTATTTATGGCTGGCTTATTTTCCCTTTGTGTATGGAGTGCAAATGCTGTTATGTATTAAAGAGAAATTCTACAAGTATGGCAAAGTACGCTACCCTATGGAACCACAAAGTCAAATGATGCTAAAATAAGCTATCTATTAATCTCGTAGCCTACACTAGACGATGAATTGTCCTCTCACCCTGAAATTCATATATCAAGTCCTGACCTCTAGTAGCTCCAAATGTGACTATATTTAGAGATGGGGCCTTTAAAGAACTCATTAAGATTAAAGGAGGCCATGGGGGTGGGGCCCTGGTCTCACACACTCAGTGTCCTTACAAAAAGAAGAGACACCAGGGATGTATGCAAGCAGTGGGAAAACCACAGGAGAACACAAGGAGAAGGCAGCCATCTGTGAGACAAGAAAGGCCCTGGAAGAAATCAAACTTACTATCCCTTTGATCTTGGATTTCAAGCCTCTAGACTGTGAGAAAATAAATTTCTGTTGTCATGACAGCCCTAACAAACTAATACACTTAGTGTTTTCCATTTCCCCTTTATTAAATGTATACAGTATTTAAATGTAAACACAAACTCCATTTAGCTATTTAAAAGAATTCCTGTTTGGAATCGTTGATTAAATTCTGTTTTCATAAAAGTACAGATAATTTTCTGATTAAATGATTTTCCTATGATTTTTTAAAAATCATCTAAGTAGGACATGGGATTTTCTTTAAAATTAATCAGCAAGCAGTGAAATAATATTCTATCTCCTCACCCAAAAGTCTTTGATTTAAGAAAATCTATGTTCCCTCCATTGATACAGTTCTAAGTTTAAAAGAATGTTCTACTTACCAAATCAATCTGATCTAAAGAAATCTTCCCAACATTTCCCTGGGTACTGTAATCTTGGCTAGTGTAGGAATGACTTTAAAAAAAGAAAAAAAAATATTAAAACAGATTCATAAAATACTTTTGATCCCTTCGAAGGAAATTTTTTAAATTCTGAAAATGATTAAAATAAGAAAGCATTTTACATGTAAACCTTAGCAGAAACATAGCCAAGTGTTTTAAACATATTTAATGAAATTAATTTAAGTAACTTACCCCAAAATAATAGAAAAATGTAGTAACAGTCTGAACCTCCTGACTCCTAGTCTAGAGCGCCACTTCCATTTTTTTAGAAGCATAATCCAAGTTGTTGTTAAAGTTCAAACCTCTACCATTTATCCTTTATTAACAGCACGACAACATAGCAAAAAAGCAGCTGGAACTTAAATTGGGAATCATCACTTAAAAGTAGCATGTGAGCAAGTTACTTAGTTACTTTCTGTATGCCAGTTGCCTTATTGACTAATGGCGATAATAATGCCTGCTTTGCAGTGTTGATAGGAGGTCTGAATTGTAAGAATTTTTGTTAAAGAGCCTGACATAAAGCAATCACTGTTTATTAAAATAAATAATATCTGAATAGCATTTTACAGTGTACAAAGAGTCTTCAATAGCCTCTAATTAGATCCTTGCAACCCCCTGAAAGAGCATTTCTGTATATCATTTGATGAATGGAGGCTTGGAGGAGTTAGAAACTTGTTAGGATCAGAAAGCAAGTCAGCAGTGCAGTGGGAACTCAAAGCTTTTGATTCCTAATTCCCCATTTTTTCACTGCACCATATCATCCTCTTCCTTATAATAAATTTTCCTGCATGATTATCTTCAAATTAGGAAACATAACTTGGTATATACTACCTTAAGCCACCCACCTCAGTAATGTTTCACCTCCTTCACACAACACACTACTCATGCCCAACTCCATGAACACAGACTCAGGTGCATGCAGGTGTGACATAGCAAAAAACAGATGCTAGATTACATAGAAATTCACAATCAAACCAAAGATTATACAAATACCACAACTAAAGGGAAACCCTGGAGTGAAGAGTCATTATGATCATAAAGAATTCCACTGGGGCAACAGAGTAAGACTCTGTCTCTACAAATAATAAAAATTAAAAAAAACAAAAACAAAAACAGAAACCTGGGCATGGTGGCATGCCTGTAGTCCTAGCTACTCTGGAGGCTGAGGTAAGAGGATTGCTTGAGCCAGGGAGATCAAGGCTGTAGTGAGCCATGATCATGCCTGAGCATTCGAGCCTAGGCTATAGAGCGAGACTCTGTCTCAAAAAAACAAACAAACAAACAAAAAATCCAGATACTACTTTCTATCTGCTCAGTTACAGATTCTTCCTGCTGAACCACATATACGCTCAAGATGCTCTGTAGATAGGCTGTTGTTTCCATAATCAATTAATTTTACTGATTAAACAATGGGTATGGATTATGAAGCAAAACCAAAATATAGCTGGCTCACACCTGTCATCCCAGCAATTTGGGAGGCTGAGGCAGGCAGATGGCTTGAGCCCAGAAGTTCAAGACTAGCCTAAGCAACAACATGACAAAACCTTGTCTCTACAAAAAATACAAAAATTGGCCAGGCATGGTAGTGTGTGCCTGTAGTCCCAGCTATTCAGGAGGCTGAAGCAGTAGGATGGCTTGAGCCCAGGAGGTGTAGGATGCAGTGAGCTGAGATCATGCTCCACCCTGGGTGACAGAGTAAGACCTCGTATCAAAAAAAAGGAAAAAAAAAGGTACAGATTTCCCCTCCCTGCAAGTCCTCCTTCTACAGGCTAAGAAGGACCTGAGAATTACTCTGAGAGCAGAATGGGTAGACTAATACTGAGGGAAACCAGAAGATGCCACCCCCAAAATATGAAGGATTATTGAGCGAAGGCAATTTAAGAAGAAGCAGATTCAGGAAAGCTCTCTGCCCTCCCTCTATCTGCCTAAAAGCAAAACACAGATTTACAAAGACAAAAGTCATCCTGCCCACCTTTTACCAGTGAGAACAAAGGTTGATCAGTGAAGATAACTTCAGATTCTTATTATGTGGAGATGATACCAGAGGAAACTATATGAACAAGCTTTACCAACTGGTCATTATCTGCCATTTATTTGCCTTCTCACAAGTTGCTGCCACCAGAGACTCAAAGTCCTTTTCCTTTGCCATGTCACTTCTCTAGAAATGTATTGCTCTTAGTTGAATTTGCTATGTAAACTTGAATTGAAAGCACCTTTTTTGAGAACTACTTACTTTCTGGATGTTTTCCATGCATATGTCTTCCATAGCACACACATGTGCTATGGTTTGAATATCTGTCCCTTCCAAAACTCATGTTTAAATTTAATCCCTAATGTGGCAGTATTGAGATGTGGGATTAATGGATAGAGGATTAATAGATTAATGAGTTGCCATGGGAAGGAAACTTGTGGCTTTACAAAATGAGGAAGAGAGACTTGAGCTGGCATGTTAACACACTCAGCCCCCTCGCCATGTGATACCCTACACCACCTCAAGACTCTTCAGAGAGTCCCTACCAGCAAGAAAGCTCTCACCAGGTACACCCTCTGGACCTTGGACTTCCCATTCTCCATAACTGTAAGAAATAAATTTGTTTCCTTTATAAATTACCCAATTTCAGATATTCTGTTATAAGCACAGAAAACTGATACAAAATGTTAATAAACTTGTTTGTTTTTCTCCTATTAATCTGTCTTTTGTTACATGGGTCCTTTCCAACCTATAGGGCTTGAAGAAAAAATTCTTCTTCAATAGGATATGGTCTTCAATGAGACCATATCCTAAAACACATCTCCTCTTGTATTATTTTCCCTTGCCTTGAATTATCTTTCCCTTGAGTAACACCTTTCTGACAATGTGTTATTGGATTCTGTGCATTCCATTAATTGCAGTAGCACAATGGCATATAAAACTCATGCAAAGTTAAATTGATAGCTGCCATTTAACTTTAATGTTTTAGACTTTAGTACACAGCATAACCAGATAATTGTTTCAGTGAAATCTCAGGAATAAAAATGTTATTTCTTTTTCCAACATGTCTTACAGTAGAGCAAAGAGGCAGCATGGGGCATTGGGAATGGCAGTAGGCTAGGAGTATGAAGACACGTTCTTGGTTTTTTTTTTTTGTTGTTTGTTTGTTTGTTTGTTTCTTTGTTTGTTTGTTTGTTTTTGAGACGGAGTCTCGCTCTGTCTGTCGCCCAGGCTGGAGTGCAGTGGGGCGATCTCGGCTCACTGCAAGCTCCGCCTCCCGGGTTCACGCCATTCTCCTGCCTCAGCCTCCCGAGTAGCTGGGAATACAGGCGCCCACCACCACGCCCGGCTAATTTTTGTATTTTTGAGTAGTGACGGGGTTTCACCGTGTTAGCCAGGATGGTGTCGACCTCCTGACCTCGTAATCCACCCGCCTCAGCCTCCCAAAGTGCTGGGATTACAGGCGTGAGCCACTGCGTCCGGCTGGTTTTTGTTCTTTAAATACCAGTTCTGCAAACTGGGACAAGTCACTTAACCATTCTGATTTGCATCATCCTTATTTGTAAAATGGCACTAATAATGCCAGCCCTGCCTAATTAACAGAAATACTGGGGAAATCAAATGAAATAATGTATCCAAAGTGCTAATTAAAATCAGTAAAGCATACTCCAGCACAAAGAGCAATTGCAGTCTTGACCAGTAAGTACAGAAATAACAGGATTGTAAGAGAGACAATAGCATGATCCTGTAGAGGAGCCATCACCCAGCTGGGAAGTACTAGGCCATGCCATTGACCCTTATAAGTCTCAGCTTCTTAGTCTATCAGCTGAAGGTGGTGATTACAATGATGTAACAGGATTGGTTCAGATCAAATAAACAAATATGAAAGGCCTCTATAAATGGTAAAATGATGTACAAACAGAATTATAGTTATTGAGTAAATGAAGCCAAATGATTACTTTGCCACAAGGAAGTTGTTCTCAGCCCAGATTAATGCATACTATACTAAGTACAAAGAGAAGACATATAAAGAGGACATATACATTTGCCTAAATGACAGTATAAAATGCTTGTTCTTCCACACCTCACTAGAATATACAAAAGGGCTAAATTTCAAGGAAAAAAAGAAAAAAAGCAAGAGAATGCTAGCAACGATGAATGCAAAGACTTTATTGGTATAAATGCCTACAGAGAGAATATAAGTAGACTTAAACTGTGTAGACATCAAACTTCTAAAAATATTTTTGGCCAGTCCTAGTGGCTCATGCCTCTATTCCCAGCACTTTGGGAAGCCAAGGCAGGAGGACCGCTTGAGCCCAGGAGTTAGAGATCAGCCTGGGCAACATATAGCAAGACATCATCGCTACAAAAAAAAAAAAAAAAAAAAAAATTAGCTGGGTGTGGTGGCACGCACCTGCAGTCTCAGCTACTCAGGAGGCTGAGGTGGGAGGATTGCTTGAGCCTAGGAGTTTGAGGTTGCAGTGATTTATGATCACATCACTGCAGTCCAGCCTGGATGAGGGATTGAGACCCTGTCTCAAAAATAAAAAATAAAAACTCTATGAAAAAGACATATACGTAATAGAAAGAAGGCCACCAGCCTAGTGTGGGCAAGTATGGAACCCATGGGGGTGGGGATGAATATGATAGAAATGAAGATGTTAAGTATCAGAATTAGGAATGACATTTCTCCTCTACTCATCTATAATCAGAAAGGCTTACTTATGTCTGCATTAGAGGAAGTGATAATAAACATCACAGCTACTTAAACCTATTTGAACTAGTTAAGGATAGCTGGGGGGCAGGGGGATTGTTAGATACAACACAAGAAAGGCAGATGGTGAGAAGCCTGTATCCCATGCTCTGCAGGCAGTGAAAAATCATGAAAAGATGTGAGGCAAGAACTGACATAATCCAGTTTACACTTGAGAAACAAAGCAGTGTGGGGAAATAATTAGAAAGGGGAGGGACTGGCAACTAACTGGAAGAATACTGTAGGCAATGTTACATCCAGGCGAGGAAAGGTGAGAGCCTGAGTAAAGTAGTAACGATGGAGAAAGGAAGGCAATAGATGGGTTCAGGAAATTTTCTGGAAAAGAATGGATATGCTTTGATGAAGGAGGTAGAAAAGTCAAGAATAACAGATCAGTTTCTAGCCTGAGTGACTGAGTGCTTCCAAGCCAAGATTTCACTTTCCACAAGATAAAAACTATTTAGCCTAAACAATAAAACTGTAACTCAGGAATAAACTTACAAAGAAATTATGAAAATACAAGTTTTGATAATAAATTTTCTTCACTCATCTTTACAATGTTTCCAGGTGAATGGTTTTTTCCTCATAATAATGAAACATTGACAGAAGCTCAAAAATCAAGGTAGAAGAAAAACAAATAATGCTGCCATAACATAAAAAAACCCTTAAAAGCAATTCACATTGGCTCATGAAACTGGCTTTTACCTGGAAGTGCCAAAAGATGGTTCTAAAGGAGAATCCTAACAGGTAGCCAGGGAAGAGACGCGCCCTTCTCCATTCAGAGCTCAGCGCCAGCTTTCTATCATACTGCTGCCAAATAAATGAAGCTGCTATATTAATGAATTGTCAAAATATATTCTTATTTTCATGATTTGAAAATGATCGATTTTATGAGGGAACATGTCTTAGTAATTATATTGGGAAAACACAGAAAGTCATTTTTAAATGCAAAAAACATTTCTAATTGCTTCAACATCTATAAACACATGCAAACCCAGCAGAAAACAGTTTTCTGTCCATTTAAAATACTCACAGCTTTATTTTGAGAGACATTCACTGTCACCAACATAGTTTTTTAAATAAGGGATTCAGTAAGCATAAAAGCTTTCCTACTCCTAATGTTTCATAAAAGAATACAGTGAGATGTAACACAAATACCATTTTTTCAATATAGAAGACCGAAGAACATTTTAATGGGTCACAAAATTCAAATTATGTCATTAATGACTATTTTGCCAAATATAAAGGACAATGTTTGATTAATCAGAGAATCTTGAAAAATCTGAATTTGATTTCCTTAATTCTCAGTTTAGCCACTAATTTTCCACAAGTTTAAAAGGAAAAAGACAAGGCAAGCTATGCATCAATTTTTTTCATCCATAAATATGTGTGGTAATGGATAAGGAATTGCAGTGATTTACTTACACTCCCTATGCATAATTTATTTGCTAAAGTATCAGGTGAAAGGCATTAAGGGTGAACTATCAGTTTTCTCAAGTTATAGAAAAGTAGTGAAAACAATAAAGATGTGGTTCAGTGAATATTCAATTACATTAGAAATCTATCTGAAGACACTGGATTGTAAAAGGATATAGTGTATTTTTGCTAAAATGTAACAATTGCTGCACTGTAACAGCAAAATAAACACCTTCACTACTGAAACAGAACCATATAAATGCATAAAACCCAGGACGAACTACTTTTCTAATATCACTAGATTGTCAGATTCTCTCTCTATAAGACACTTTTTTTCCACATCCCAGTTGTTGTCCTTATCTAGATGTAAAAGATTCTAATTATTAAAACAAACAAATAAAAAAACGCCACACACACCCCTTCAGGAATCCCTGTACAACCCCCCTATCTCTCAGCATACACTTATTAAGCACCTTTGTGACCAAGGAAGGGTCCAAGCAGTGAAGGATCCAGACATAGTCCAGGGAGGATAATGTGATGAGTGCCACAACAATGCTCAAAACAATTGTTCCTCAAGCCCGCAGAGAGGAGGTCTCTTCTAAATGAAGGGTGAGAGGAGAAGGTAGGCAATGTGTGGAGCATTAAAGATTTTTGAGCAATACAATGGCACTGAATAGAGAGAGTTATGCTTTAGAAACACAGACTACAGGATTCTAGAATGTTATTAGAATGTTGTTGAAATACCGGACAACAGGTCTAGATTGAATAGAGAAGCCTGCAGAGCCACAAGGGGAGGTGATCTTGGGGAACTGAAATAGAAGTCTGGGATGAAAGGAAGATGACAATCAGTAGGAATGAGCAACTAGGGAGTAAAGTGGAAGAATTAGAGATTGTAGTTGGAAAATAATTTAAGCTTGGAGGTTTAGAAGTAGGATGTGATAATCACAAAAAAAGTCAAAGGCCTGGTTGTTTGAATATTTTTATCATTTGTAGTTTAACAATGTTGAATATATTAAAACATTCTGACATTTTGACCAGGTTCATAAAAGTATGTGATTAAAGTTTATTAAGGCTGTTGAAGGGGTTTTAAAGTAAGAATGTGATAAGGGCGTAGCATTTTGGAATAATAAAGTCTTTTTCTTGGGATCTGAAGGCTTATCACATAACAGATGGAGGGGCAGAAAAGAGAAGCAAAGCCAAGAAAATTTCTAAAAAGTAGTTTATAGATGAAAAGGTTAGGTTAGAGAAAAAACACAAGCAAAGGCAGGTGGGCAGGGGGTGGGGGAGAAATTCGGTAGGAAATTAGGCAGGTCCTGAGATAGGTCTTTAATCAAAGACCATTAAAATATAATTTTAAAAACCCCTTTAAGTCCTATTTCCTTTGTAATAATATAGTGCTAAGTTTCTGTTTTCATGAAAATTTGAGGTTTTCTCCAGGTTTCTAAACACCTAAGTGTACATATAATAGTGCCTTCTAAGAAAACAGAATTTTGCAATTGTGTATAACAAACTCTGCCTACACAAAAGTAATCTGGTGTTTTTGTTTTGTTTTGAGGTGATGGTCTTAAATTATATATTCTGCTATAAGAGAATTCATGATACACAAAATATATAAAAGCATCCTTTTTTTTTTTTTTTTTTTTTTTTTTTTTTTAAATTTGAGACAGAGTTTTTCTCTTGTTGCCCAGGCTGGAGTGCAATGGTACGATCTCGGCTCACCACAACCTCTGCCTCCCCGGTTCAAGTGATTCTCCTGCCTCAGCCTCCCGAGTAGCTAGGATTACATGCACGTGCCACCATGCCTGGCTAATTTTGTATTTTTAGTAGAGACGGGATTTCTCCATGTTGGTCAGGTTGGTCTTGAACTCCTGATGTCAGGTGATCAGCCCGCCTCGACCTCCCAAAGTGCTGGGATTACCAGCATGAGCCACCGTGCCCAGCCAAAAGCATCTTTTAATGGTTGCATTTGTTCAATAAACTTACGTAAAACTTAATTAAAACACAGTCACACCTGAGGAACTTTTCCCTCTCATATTATCTCGCTCATTAAACATAAGAGGCCAGCATGGCTAGTTTTCCAATATAGCTTAAAATCACAGTAAACAGAAAATTATAAAGCTAACAGAATTTCAATAATTTATAGGCTGAAAAGAGAAAGGTTAAGACTTTCAAAACATACAAAACACATATTTACGCAACCAAATTTAAATGATCCCATTTTAAATCCAATTAAATCCATCTAATTTTGGTGAATGCAGGGGTTGGGGAATGACCAAGACAGCAAGGCATAATTAATCACATCCACACTAAACTAGAGTTTCCCCCAAATACTGTCTCACAAACATCTAATGTACAGCGCAAAAATACCATGGATATATAAAAGGATAAATCTGAAACAGATACATCTGCACACATCTGATCTGTGAATTGTAGTGAAAGGCAGACCTACTCCTGGACTTTGTAGAAACAACAGAAATTTAAGTCCTGTTCAATGTACCACAAATATCAATATGAGCACTTAGGTACTCAACAGGGAATTGTTTTTGAGTGTTGAAACTCAGAGTTGAAAACAAAAAGCAGAAATTACATGAAAGTGGATTTATGGGTCTCATGGCAAGATTAGCTGGTTAAGAAAAATAATAATAATCTTTTCATGCTGTGGCACTGATTGTTAGCAGAAGATGGATTATCACACCTCAGCTCCAAGAGTGGTATTCACCAGCTCCACTACTGTGATATAAATGCCACAGGGCATTACTGACAAAATGGGAGGGCAAAAGTCAGCTTTTCATGGGTGATTACAACTCCAGTCATTTTCTCCTTTTCAGACTACTGATGAAAATTTGACAGAGTAAACAGGAAGTAGTGGAATAGTTGCAACACTTTAGGAATTGGCTGCAACTTCTCTTCATTTGTATAATTTCTCCAAGTCCAGTTTGCCCAAGGCAATCATGGAGGCATAAAAGAACCAGGCAATAAATAGAGAAGCGTGATTAAGAGGGTAAGTTTCAGAATTCAAGAGTCATGCAAAAGTTTGCATACAGTCACTATCTGTGTGATTTTGCAAAGATTTCTTAATTGCTTTCATCTTAATCACTGGTAAAACAGGGATTATAAAACAGATCACAAAAGTGCTGCTCTCAAAAAGTTGTTGTGAGGACAAATGAAATGTCTGTAGTGTTTATCACAGTATTTTTCACTTAAATTGTAATAAACATCATCATCATGTCGGCCTAAATTTATTGTTCTTAAACATTTTGGATTTTTTTTCTCTGTTCTTAACGTTCGCCAATTTCTTCCTATGAATACTAGAAAAAATAATTTCCTTCCAACCTTCTTCATACTATCACATAAAATGTTTAACCTCAAAGTATTAATAGGAGAATTTAGATGTCCTTGAATAACCTGATATCTGGAAGATTTTGTGAGTCTATCATTATAGTCTATATTTACATTTTTAGGAAGTGTCCGAAGTACAAATATTCAACTTAAACAGTAGAGATTTAAATGAAATCCATTTTTATAAAGCTTTACTGTTATATAGTATCCATTAGCCAAATGTGACCATTGAGCACTTGAAATGTAGCTTAAACTAAATTGAGATGTTCAACAAGTACAAAGTACACACTGGATTTCAAAGACTTAGTACATAAAATGTAAAATATTTCATTCACAATTTTTCATAGTGATTACATATTAAAATATTTTGAGCTGGGTGTGGTGGCACATATCTGTAGTCACAGCTACTCAGGAAGCTAAGGAAGAAAGATTACTTGAGCCTAGGAGTTCAAGTAGCTGAGCCTGGGCAAAAGAGTGAGACCCCATCTCTTAAAAAAATAAATAAATAAAAGATATTTTGAATAAGAGTTAAATAAGGTATGTTATCAAAATTAATTTCACTGAGTAATTAAAAATTATATATAATTATACATGTGGCTTACATTTGTTGCTCTCATTATGATTCTACTGGATAGCATTATTGTATAGTGAGGACACAATGACATAAAACAATCAAATAGTTCTCTGGAGGACTAGGTATACCTATAGAATAGCCAGATGACTTGCCCTGACTTCTATTTGCTGCACTAAGATCAATCTCTGCCAGTCATAAACAAAATACAGGCTGCAATTAGGCCAACTAAAGGAAGTGCTTGTGCTTGTTTTTACAACATTTTACTTGGGAATCAAGTTTTTATATTTAAGTCATAGTTTGCCATTTATACTATTAGGGAAGCAATCTTGAATTCTGATTAGCTTGGCGGTAACCTGAATTGTTTCTCTGGGGACAAAGAAAGCTGTGACATGTTTATCTGCGAGGCTTTGGGGCTGCTTGGCCAACCTCAACCTCAATACCTAATTGCAACTGTCCATTCTTCTCTCATTTGTAAGAAGCCATAATACACAGGATGCAAATGTGGCTTACAGCAAAATCCTAAGCCAGAGTGTAAAGAATTCCTCCCTCATCCTCAGGGGGTATTTCTCTGCCCTCCCTCCCCACCAGCAGACAGAGTTTCTGACGTTCATAAGACAATAACATATAAAACATATTTCCATTCTTTGTCAAGCATTTCCCAGTATTCTTAAGCCTAAAGAGGTTAACACCATTTACTCCTTTCTATCTGGCAGGTTATAGTTTATCATATTTTTTAAACTAGCATAAAATAAAAAAGCAGTGAAGAAAGCATCACAAATAATCAAAACTGATCTCTGCATCAAAGAAACATATTTATTTGGACCATTAAAAAGTAAGCTAATACATCTTTCAAAATGAACTGTAATCTCCTACATCATTCCATAAAAGTATACCAAGTTCCAATACAGCCTTTTCACATAAAGCCAGGTGTAATAATAGCACAAATGGAAAAACAATTTCAGAAAGAGGAAATAAATGTTTCTGTACATTACCCATATATCTATTTTTTGCAATCACAATTTTACCCACTTAGGGTGTTAAAAAAAAAAAAACAAACCCTATCCACATAAACTAAGCCACTCAGACATTTAGAAAGCACAGTCCCTGCACTTTGGATTTGTTGGGTGGGTAGGAAATCAAAGGAACCAAAGCTACAATATATCATTTCCTGCAGTGAAGGATATCACAGGAAAATTCAGTCAACAGCTGTCACCACGGAAATTGAAATGAGTTTGGGTTTTTTTTCTCCAGCTAAATCCCTAGTAAATGATATCCAACTTGTATTAGCCCAGGTGATTTTCCCTGCAGTTATTCCAAATGAGAACACAATCAATAAAATTCTGTTTTAAATTGGTTGAATGTAGATTATTTTTCCACAAGCATAAATTTTATTCAACTTTATTTAAAAAAAAGTCTCCGCAGAAAACTACCATCAGACAACATGCAGTATAATGATCTATTTTTCTTTATAACTGGGAGAAATTGTATGATTCCAAGAGGCTAAAATATCCATGGAAACCATACGGGTTTCCATATCAGGTAGGAACTATAAATGGTACAACTGCTATTTTATTTTATGTTTCCCTCATCTTCCCCATGTGGCCCATATTTTCCTATTTATTCCAAGTTATAACCAAAATCCAATGAACTCCAAGATAAGTGAAAGTTGCATCTCATTTTTCTATAAAAATATCTGTACATTTGTCAAAAGACATTGAACTATACCCTTTAAATGGGTGGATTTTTTGTGTATAAATTGTACCTCAATAAAATTGATTTTAAAAGTAAAATACACACATACACCCCTGTAACATATATTCAAACTACAGCTTTACACTGGTATTTTCACCATATAACTTTAAGACCCCCAACAAACATATCTATTTTCATGAGTAAAAATTTTATGTTCCTTTACTCTCTATATTCTTAGTATATATTCTAGTAATATAACGAACCCAAATACAGATGGTTTTGGTTTTGGGTTGGGTCCAGGATAGTCAAATGACTACAATAAAGAAAGGATTCATAATAGGCTAGTCATGAAAAAGTGAGAGGTCGAGGGAATAAAGTTCCAACATCCAGCAAAATTAATACGTTAAAATGATGGACAACGTCTTCCCATTCCCCCACAAATAATTTACACAATGTGGAATGTTACTGAGATGAGCTATTACACATTTATGGCATTCTAGGATAATCCCCTCACATTTGTTCCCCACTAACTGCCACAATGTTTTGGGAGCTTTGGTAGGGGGTGCTGGAACAGTTAATGAGGATTATTATTAAAAGTCACAGTCCAACAGTCACATTACATCCTTTCCTTATACGCCACTTCAGTCTCACATAGCCATTGACAATGCCTCATAATGTTTAAGGGTTTCATTTCATAGATCAAAAGAGCAAGGTATGTAACAGTTTTGTTGCTGGTTTTGTTTTTGAATACAAGTGGTTAACATTTGAATAAGTTGTTGCGGGAAGTAAGGAACCCCAAACAGAGGGACCAGCTGAAGCCATGGCAGAAGAACGTGGATTGTGAAGATTTCATGGACATTTATTAGTTGCCCAAATTAATACTTTTATAATTTCTTACGCCTGTCTTTACTGCAATCTCTAAGCATAAATTATTAAGATTTCATGGACACTTATCACTTCCCCAATCAATAACCTTGTGATTTCCTATGCCTGTCTTTACTTTAATCTCTTAATCCTGTCAGCTGAGGAGGACGTCGCCTCAGGACCCTGTAATAATTGCATTAACTGCACAAATTGTACAGCACGTGTGTTTGAGCAATATGAAATCTGGGCACCTTGAAAAAAGAACAAGATAACAGCAATTGCTCAGTGAATAAGAGAGAGAACCTTAAACTCTGACCGCCGGTGAGCCGGGCAGAACAGAGCCATATTTCTCTTCTTTCAAAAACAAATGGGAGAAATATCGCTGAATTCCTTTTCTCAGCAAGAAACATCCCTGAGAAAGAGAATGCGCGCCTGGGGGTAGGCCTATGAACGGCCCCCCTGGGCGTAGCCATCTCTTATGGTGGAGACTGCAGGGGTGAAATAGACCCCAGTCTCCCATAGCGCTCCCAGGCTTATTAGGAAGAGGAAATTCCCGCCTAATAAATTTTGGTCAGACCGGTTGATCTCAAAAACCCTGTCTCCTGATAAGATGCTATCAATAACAATGGTGCCCAAAACTTCATTAGCAATTTTAATTTCACCTCGGTCCTGTGGTCCTGTGATCTCGCCCAGCCTCCACTTGCCTTGTGATATTCTATTACCTTGTAAAGTACTTAATGTCTGTGACCCACACCTATTCGCACACTCCCTCCCCTTTTGAAAATCCCTAATAAAAACTTGCTGGTTTTTGCGGCTTGTGGGGCATCACGGAACCTACCGACATGTGATGTCTCCCCCGGACACCCAGCTTTAAAATTTCTCTCTTTTGTACTCTGTCCCTTTATTTCTCAAGCTGGCCGACGCTTAAGGAAAATAGAAAAGAACCTACGTGAATATCAGGGCAGGTTCCCCAATAATAAGTCATTGGTAAGAAAAAGAGGGAGCACTTCTGAGATCACACAGAGGAATAGAAAGTACTCTCTGTCCTCCATGATTAGTTCCTAATTGCATAAAGAAGAGTCTTATGTCCCAAAACAAAAGATAAAAACAGCAGTACATTTCTACAAAGATAAAAAGCATTTCTTTATCATAGTTATCCTTTGGAAATAACAGAAAATCCATCAGCTTTTTGTCCAAATTACCATCTCATTCAGTCTCAATATTTAGCAGCTTGGAAAACGGAATTAAAGGTAAAATTTTTTAACCTGACAGTTTCTATAATTCACTCATCCATTCATTCATTTGTTCATTCATTCAAGTGTTTACTGAGGTCCTATTATGCCATTCTTATAAGTAATGGGGAGACAGTGGTAAACAAGATGGCCAAATTCCTTCATCTAATGGAGCTCATACCCTAGGCAAAAAAATACTGAACAAGCAAACAAATTAAAACGATCATTCCAACTAGTGATGTTGCTGAGAAGAAAACATAACATAGTGAGAAAATATTATAAAGCACTTGTGAGGGTGACTTTACATTGGATGATTAAGGACACACCTCAATAAGACCTGAGAAGATGCACCGCTATACACATTTTTGTTTGTTTCCACCACTGTACACATTTGATGACTGTTCCTGGTAGATTGTATGTATGCAGTAAGTCAAGAACCAAGATACCGCTACTAAAAGTGGGCATTTAAAATTAATCTTGTATTATCCTTTCTAGCACTACTTTCCAAATAGTAATTAGAAACAATTGAGAGTGCATTAAACTTTTGGTGAGTCTTGGTAGTCTGCCTTTCCTCAGCTCAATTTATTAATTTTGTTTTGTGTTTACTCTGAGTAAATAAAGGTTAATTGGTTCTGGAATGCCAGGGGGTGCTCTTAGGTTAACTAAACATTTAGACTCACATGACTATGCCATAGACCC
Source organism: Homo sapiens (assembly GCF_000001405.40). NCBI lineage: Eukaryota > Metazoa > Chordata > Mammalia > Primates > Hominidae > Homo > Homo sapiens. The sequence continues at coordinate 60,410,839 of NC_000006.12, read as the reverse complement.
CTTGTGGCATCAGTTTACTTGGAAAGATCCAGGACAGGAATCACAGCTTGCTAGCTGGGCAGCTTCAAGTATTCCTCTTCCATGGAATCCTTACCACAGTCCTGCACAGGTGGACAGCTCATTCAGGTACAGAGGCAAAATCCCCACCAGTAGATGTGAGAGCTGCCCTGACTTAGGAGCCTCATGACCCTCAGTGGCCACAATTGCTTATAACAGCTCCATACATATAGCTTTTCCAGGGCTACCTCAGATTTGAAACTCTAAGCCCCACTACTATGATTTTTAAAAAATATGTAATTATTTAAATAAATTTCCAATACAATATGGAACTACACTATCAAATACAGATACCATTAACTAAAATTGGTTGCTGAAATTAAAATTTTAATTAATTAAAATTAAATAAAATTTAAAATTCAGTTCTTTAGTAGCACTAGCCATGTTTCAAATGCTCAATAGCTGTAAGTGGCTATTGGCTACCAGATTAAACAGTACAGGTATAGAACACTTCCATCATCACAGAAAGTTCTATTACATAGCATTCAACAAGTTGCTTTTTGTTGCTAATATATCACCAATACTGCCACAATGCTTTCTCAGGCCTTTTAAGAATATTATTTCCCATAACATCATTATTATTTTGTACTGTTAGTGTTTCATGACTAACACAGTGTAAAATCACTAATTTTCCTTTGTAACTTAACCAGAGAGCGATCAATGTTTTAAAGAAACCCAATGAGTGAAGAATAGGAAATTTAACAACTGCAGATATTAAAACTATTAAAAAAGCATAAGAAATCATAAATTTCACTTTCCAGCAGTATCTTGGTTCTTGACTTACTGCATACATACAAGGCTCCCAGTATCCTGTATCCACAATCCAGAAATTCCTGAGAAACTTTGGAGTCAGAGGACTAAGGGAAATCTACAATGTCTGGTTGGAGATAAGCTACAAGACCACTGTGACAAGCAAAGTTTCATTATTTCCAGGATGCTACGTGCTCTCATATAATCACATACCTCCACTATGCCAAGAGTCATCATGATTTATTATAATTACTTTAGTTAAACTTCTCTTTTTACTGATAACTATTCAGTCCTACAAAGGCAGAAATAAATGTACCCCTAGAACCTAACATCACGTGAGGCAACCAGTAAGAGTTCCTTTAATATGTGTCCAATAAACAATAAATAAAACAAACTCTTAGAATGCTAAAAGGTGTGTGAGCATGTATTACTGAACAGCTCTCACATAAAGTACCTCAGTACATCTCAGCCACTATATGTAACCTCATTACAAAGTCTACTATTTACTGCAGTGTTTATTTGCCTTGTTCTAGGTAGCTGGTTGATAAGACAAGAAAGATTTTTCTATCTTCCTTCAATAGCATTAAAAAGAAAATCAGTAACTTTTTATATTTCTGTTAAGAACTCATTTCTTATACCTTTTTTCAACTTTAAGATATATTAAACTAGTAAAGTAAATTAACTACAAAACTCCAGGAAACGTTAGTATTCTACATAAATTAAGAATGGTGACTTACGTGTAAAATTGATGAAAAGTGATACAAAAAGCTGTTTTCACTCCATACTACCACCTCAAAAGAAAACCTTCACTATAAGAGGCCGAATCAGTGACCCTCCACATATGCTCTAATTCCTGGGTCCTCTGAATGTGTTAGGTTACATGGTAAAAGGGGCTCTGCAGATGTAATTAAGGTTAAGGATCTTAGATGAAAAGATTATCCTGGATATCCCTGTAGTCTGATCTAATCGCACGGGCCTTTAAAAGCAGAAAACTTTCTCAGGTTGGAGGCAGTGTGACACAGCAGCATAAGTTAGAGAGATCTGAAGCATGGGAAGGCTCTGAGATGGGACCCACAGGCAAGGACTTCAGAGGCCTCTAGGAAATCATGGAAAGCATGAGAAGGAATGTGGGCAGCCTCTAGGAGGAAAGACCAGGCTTCAACTGACAGCCAGCATAAAAACAGGATCTCCAACAACTTAAATAACCTTGGAAGTAAATTCTTCCCCAGAGCCTCCGGTAAGGAATATAAGCCTTGCTGACACCTTGATTTTAGCCTGGCAAGACCCATGTCCGATTTCTAACCTACAGACTGTGAGATAATAAATGGGCATTGTTTTAATCCACTAAATGTGTGGCATTTGTTAAGGCTGGAATAGAAAACTAATACACTGGTCACTTTTTATTTTCTTTATATAAAAATGCTAGTGTCATTGCTAAATATCAGGGAATATATATACAATGTACTTACGCACACAGACATATGACACGAGTGATTTTTAAATATTCTAAGGGAGTGTTTGAAAAAATGGCTATAAAGGCTCTAATCTACACACGCTAATAAGCTTTAACATCTGGCTTCCTCAATTCCACCTATTTCAAGTCACTCGTTCACTTGTTAAGAAATCTGCCACTTTCTCACTTGGGCAAGATGGCATTTTTAGACTAATGAACTTCCCTGTATTTTCAAAGCTATACACCACCTAGGCTGCTGCTGTTCTTTGTTCTTATCTCCATCTGATCTGCTGGAAAACATCTATGATGCAATTCCTTCTACATAAAGTTACTACAGTATTTCTTCTCAGTTACTTTGGCTGAACACACAGAAACTGTTCACATTCTATAATTTTTTGCCACAGGTTTATTCAATCCCAAAAGCTATACATATCTGATAAAATGGCAATGGCTAAGTAAAAGTAGATATATCTATTCTTGATTGACTATTATGCAGATACTTAAAATTGGAGTCATGAAAATCAATTTTCTACTTTATTACCTAGTTATAACGTATTAAGTGAAAATTTTAAAAGTTAACCACTTTATAATTAAAGTATGCATCAAGTTCACAAAAGAAGCTTAGTGTTGGTTGCATTAGGGAGGGAGGTGATTTTATATATTGTGACTATACATTTTACCAAAAACATTAAATGACATTAAATTTGTAACATAATCCACATGCAGATACTGCTTCTCATAAGACTTCCTATCACTCTCTTTACTATCTACTTAACTTGCAGCAACTATTCCGGTGCAGCTTTGGGTATGTGTGTGGGTGGGGAGGGGGAAACTATTTATAAATTTTGGTCCTCTTTCCCCTTAAAAATATAAGCACCTTGAGTTAAGGGACCACATCTATTAGTTATTTTGTACATAATCAGTACCAATTATAGTGCCCTTAACACAACGGGCTGATTCTAACAAAATGCTGACTATTCACAAGTATACCTCTAAGAAGGCATTAACATTTTCCATACAGATGTGAAAAAATTGTAATTCAAAGGTGACAATGGAAAACAATATATTCTAATTTATTAATATCTTACACAGCACCTGGAAAACCTTCACTATAATCAGTGAACTAAAAGTTTGTGCTGCTGCATGTAGAAAAGGAAATAAATGTTCAAGGTACTGCCAGAGACTGGAAACAGGTGATGAGAAAGAGCTAACAAACAACTGAAGCATGTGGACCAGGCTAATGAGGCTTTCATTTCAGCCCTCAACTGATGAAGCCCCTATCTACTAAACCATTTTCTGGCGTTTATTTTCATATTTACCACAATAGACACATGAATGCCCACACAATTTCTGATTTCAAAATGAGAACTAATTCAAAAAGAAAACAATGATAGCTGTACCACTTTGGATAGTAAGAAAAGCTTTCTTACAGAGATTATATGTCTGATAAAAAATTTGTGAAAGCATATTCTTTAGAAAAATAAGTAGAAATGTGTGCATATTAACAAAATGTACTGCCTTCGGAAAAGGAATTTTACAAAAGTAGTAATAATACCAACTGAAGGAAGATGCTTTTATTACTTTAAATGATTTTAAAATAACAGTTTGTATAAACATCTGCTTGCAAAATCAGTATGCACTAAAAGTTAATCCATATGATGCAGTCCAAGTACTTACTATAAGTAATACTTGTCTTAGCTTGCTTTATCTTTGTTTGATTTCTAATTCATTCTTGGGCTGAAATATGCTCACAAAATTGTGGTGTGACAAATACACATTTTAAAAATGAGTTATTCTTTAATGACAAAACATTAAATAATAACAATTTTTTTTTTTTTGAGACAGAATCTTGCTCTGTTGCCCAGCCTGGAGTGCAGTGGCGCGATCCTGGCTCACTACAACCTCTGCCTCCTAGGTTCAAGTGATTCTCCTGCCTCAGCCTCCTGAGCAGCTGGGATTACAGGTGTGCACCACCACAGTGGGCTAATTTTTGTATTTTTAGTAGAGACAGGCTGGTCTCGAACTCCTGGCCTCAAGTGATCTGCCTGCCTCAGCCTCCCAAAGTGCTGGGATTACAGGCATAAGCCGCCGCGTCCAGCCAATAATAGCAACTATTACAGTGACTTATAATATGCTGTCCCCCAATGCACTTCATATCTTGAAGTCAAGGGATAAAGGAGGAAGATACATACACTGTAGGTGTTATTTTTAAGGGGGAAAAATTCTCAATCATACAACTAAAAGTTATCACATGTATAATATGGGCTGCAAGTTTTCCTCTCTAGTTGTACCTATTTATACTTCATATTTATAAGTGAGATAATAAATAAAAATAAACATCTTTATCATGCACACTTGCTAGCCTAATGCCATTTTTATAAATATTATCCCATGGTACCATCATTAGGATAGCAAAGATACTTATTTACAATAAACTTCTACATTCATGGGAACATATTCCAAGACCTTTATGTATCTCCAAACTACCAAATCAGTGAACGATATAATTCACCCTAGAAAATGCAGTGATATATAACCATAAGAATGACAGTAAAGCCACAATGAGATGCAGGCTCCTTAGATTACATATCTAATCATATGCAATTTGGTGAAAGCAGAAATAATGATTTATACAAATTCTCTCTAAACTTCATATTATTGTAAGTCTAAGTAAGTTTATTTCTTCCAATAGAAAAGTTCCTGGTATCAATTTTGAAAAATGGTATGGTCTTATGAAATAATTAATTCATCTCTTTTGAGGAGAGGGAAAGGCAGTATTTTTCATTAGAAAAATCAGGTTTTCTTGGCTGGTGCACGGTGAGCACAGTGGCTCACACCTGTAATCCCAACACTTTGGGAGGCCGAGGCAGGCAGAACACCTGAGGTCTGGAGTTAGAGACCAGTCTGGCCAACATGATGAAACCCCATCCCTACTAAAAATAAAAAATTAGTTGGATGTGGTGGCACATGCCTGTAGTCCCAGCTACTCAGGAAGCTGAGGCAGAAGAATCGCTTGAACCCAGGAGGAGGAGGTTGCAGTAAGCTGAGATCATGCCATTGCACTCCAGCCTGGGCGACAGAGTGAGACTTTGTCTCAAAAAAAAAAAAAAAGAAAGAAAAAGAAAAATTAGGTTTTCTTAATGAGAACATCATGAGGCTCCATCACCAACCTGTAAAATAGGGATTATGATAAATAACCATCTACCATCCACACTGGATTGTTCTGAGTATGCACCAAAAAGCTAGATTGGAAAGTACTTTTTAAACTCCAGTCAGTTTGATTTCCTGGCCTATCCCCTTCTACCCCTCCTAAAACATTGCCCCTTCAATTAGTCCGTCTTACTCCCATACTACTCATTTCTGCCTTAACCTGTAAATATGCTCATCTTACCAATCTTAAGGAAAAAATAAAACACTTTCTTCAACCATGAAGCTCACAGATGCAGTCTTTTTTCCTTACATGTCCTCAGAATTAAGCTCTACCAAGAGTAGCCTATTCCCTATATCTCCACAGCCTCATTTCTTATTTATTCCTCAAATCCTCATAAGACTTGGACTTGTATCCATACCATTAGCACCCATCATACCACTATCCTTTTTGGTTCAAGGCTCCTCCCTGATATTTTTACCGGTTTCTCATATCCCAACTCCCGCACTGCCCATCACAAGTCATTTAAACACTGATATTCTGTGGGTTCGATTCAGAACCCTTCACCCTTTTCTTGTCTCTCTATACTCTCTTCCTGGGTGATCTCAACCATTCCCTTTATTTTAACCAAGACCTGCACAGTGATGATTAGCAAATGTCTCCCTGATGTAAACCTCACTCTTCAACTGTGGGTCTGTATTGAACTGCTTACTAAACATCCCCCACATAGGTCCCCACGGGTATCTCAAGCTTAAAATGTCTGAAACTACTGAAATTACCATCTAAGCAATCATATTCATTCCCTAATTGCCTTGTCTTCCTTTCTTTATTCTCCTTCTTAGTTAATGACAATATTATCCCTCAAGTGAGATTACAGTTCAGTCCATTCAGCCTGAGAAAGCTGACTAAGAATAAAACAACAAAAAAAGAATAAATTTCAGTCCAATCTGAGCTCCCACTGTGAGCCACTGTGCTAGAATGCACGGAAACCAAAACAATTAAGTTATGGCCCGATTACTTGAGGAGATAATTCCACGAGGGAGACAGTTCAATTAACAAAATTATGTACATTGTATTTAATTCTGATAGAAAATGATACAAATTTTATAACTTGTTCAAGTGCCTATCTCTCAAATGAAATCAAACCCAACTCCCTGAAAACAGAGATTGTGTGTTTTCTTTAAATTCTAAGCACATAACGGGCACTAAGTAATTAATGAGTGAATGGACGATACTAATGAATTAAAAACACAGTTGTACTGCCATAAGATATTGAAGCACGATGTTTTTCTGTACTTGAGAATTGGATTCAACTAAAACAGTTTGGACACATCACTTCTGCAGTCTCAAAATAATATATATTGTTAAGCGATATTCTAGATTATTTGATTGGCAGTGTTACCTTAATTCTCTTTGAGTCTCTAAATCCTGTAAAATGATTTGAGAATTTCTCTGTATTGCTACTTCAATTTTTACAGGTGTTTGTATTATCTCCCAAATTAGTTTTATTGACAAATTTAATTAAAATGCTACTCATCATTCCTCTTTCCTCATTAGAGGCAATAAACAAAATTAGACCTAATAATGATCTCGGTATCAACCTCCTAATGTCCATCCGCCTCTAGGTAACATTTAAATTACACAGTTCATGCAAATCAATTTTTTTCTAACAAAATTATTATTAAAATCTCTCAAACCAAATAATATTATTTCCTATTTAGAACTAAGCAAAAGGAAGATAAAATAAAAACATTACATTTAGACAAGCAAAAGCAACAATTCAATATTCTTGAAAGGCGTTATACAAGGTTACTTTGTAGAACAGGAAGTGTCAAACTATGCACATCAGCTGCCACCCGACATATACATGTCTCTGACATGGTAATAAAATGAGAAACCGTTTTGTTTAATAATAATAATAAAGCAACAGCAGTGGGTGCACATTACATGTAGCATCCAGTCCTGGTTGCCTAGCAACCAGTCATGAGTGAAATCCACAGAGAATAAAAGCCCTTAAATGAATGTACAGTTTGTGCAACTTTCAAGGACTCAAAGAGATGTGCCAGTAGTTAATCTAAATTCTAGCTGGCAATTACCATACTCAGACGGAGGAAGGAGAATCCATCATTATCTCTCAGAATCAACTGTGAGATTAACTAGAAGCTAGATTCTACCCTTTAGGTTTTTACCTTTTGAACCAGTGGTTTTCTAGGAAAAAAAATTTGACATTATGATTTATAAATTATAAAAACTTTATGCAGAAAAAACAAGAAAATTTCACTAATATAACTTGTATTCATTCATTCAACAAAACATATAATACCTATCACACACCAGATACTGTCTCCGCTATTGAAAATACAAATATGAACATCACTTTACAAGCTTTCAAGCATACTATAATGGAGAAATCAAACAGTAAACAAACAATAACAATATCACAAATTCTGTAATACAGAGGAAGGCATGGGATATTATGAAAATATCTATAAAAGACTTCCAATTCAGACTACGGAGGTGAACTAATTAATGGTCAGGGAAAACTTATCAGAAGAGGTAATGTTTGAGATGAGTTTTAAAAGACAAGCAAAAGTTGTTATAAAAGTGGAGCATGAGGAGAATATAAATAGATTTGCACATTTATATACATCTACAATATATTTCAAATATATATTTCTAAAATATATATTTATATTATATATTTAAAATGTTTTAAAATTAAATTAAATACATTTAAAATACCTTAAAATTATATTAAATACATTTAAAATGTTTTAAAATTATATATATATTATATATCTACAAATTTACATAAATAGAAGTGGCAGAAGGAAAAATATTTGTAACGCCGTAGAGGTGAGTGAGCAAAAATCATGTTGTGTTAAAGGAACTTCACGGCATTTGGTGAAATTAGGATCTCAGTGTTAAAACAGGAGTCCAAAGAGACAGATAGCCCAGGCCTCTTCCAGAAGGACTTCTTATGCCAGGCTAAGAAATTCGGACTTCCTCCAGAATGAAATTGGAGAGGCAGAGATGGGTCTTAAGCCAATGAATAATATAAACACATATGGCAATGCTGTGAAATATATCAGAAAGGGCAAAGCAAGCAGACAAGATGCTATGATAGCAAGAGATATACTTAAGAGATAAAATTGCCAACAGAGTTGAATGTGGCAGGTGGGCATTAAGCAAGAGACTCAAAAATAATTTCTGAGATTGTTAACTCACTAACACAGAGCTCTAGTAAATTTAACAATCATGTATAAATGTTGTTATACATAAAAATGTATGCTATTCAGTCCCTGCTGAAATATTAGACTTGATCAACCCAACAAAACAATTACACAAAGGTTACGACTTCTTCGTAACCCAACAAAACAATTATACAAAGGTTAAAAAGCTGTCTGGGAAGGAACAGTTACTGGAGAGCAGGAAGAAAAGGCAAGGAAAGTGGAGAGGGGAGGAAGAAAGAAAGGAAAAATAAAGAAATACTAAGAAAGAAAAAGAAAACTAAAACTAAAACTTTCTGGTGAAAGTAAAAATCTATCCACACTTCTGAAAGAGAAGTTTAAAAAGAATTTTTCAAAACCATAAAGAAAACACTATTGGTGCTTGACTACATAAAACCTGAATATGTAGGTATGTTGACTAATACAATTTTAGAATTTTAGAAAAAAACTATGTAACAAATACAACAAAGAGTCACTATCCTTTAAAGTATGTAAAAGCAAATAAGATCAGGAGATGCTATCAATAAGTGAGCAAAGAATACAGGTAGTTAATCCCACCTCACAAATAAGGAAAATGAATTATTATTACCAACAAAATGCACAGGATCACAACAGTATCTCTATGTCTAACCTATTAGCAACGGTTTTGACTGCCCTATCTTGTTCAGAGTATAGTTACATGGCAGTCTTTTACAAATATGAGTGTATAGGTAGAATAAGATTTTGAAAAAGAAATATACGTATACACTTAAATCTTTAAAATGGTTCACACGCTTTGACAAAGTAATCCCAATTCTGAAAACCTACCCTAAGAAAATGATCTAAAATACAAATAAAGGTTAACATATAGCATTATTTTATAGTAGTAATAAAAAACTGGAAATGGTCTAAAGCTTCCCAAAGGGAGATGAATATGCTATAGTACAGATATACAAGAAAATATAATGTAGTCACTAACAATAATGTTTTTAGAAAGATTTTAATACTAAGGGAAAAAAATTACAATATTTATAAAAATGGAAAAAATAGTCACATAAACTATAATTTCAACACTAAGTGAAAAACAACAACGACAACAACAACAACAAAAACATAGAAAGGGCAGGGTGCGGTGGCTTATGCCTGTAATCCCAGCACTTTGGGAGGCTGAGGCAGGTGATCACCTGAGGTCAGGAGTTCGAGACCAGTCTGGCCAATATGGCGAAACCCTGTCTCTACTAAAAATACAAAAATTAAACAGGCGAGGTGCCCCACACCTGTAATCCTAGCTACTTGGGAAGCTGAGGCACAAGAATTGCTTGAATCTGGGAGGCGGAGGTTGCAGTGAGCGGAGATCGCACCACTGCACTCTAGCCTGGGCGACAGAGCAAGATTCCATCTCAAAAAATAAAAAATTAAAATTAAAATTAAAAAACATAGAAAAGATAAATATTATTTCTGAGTAGTAATGATAGGTTTTTCCTTTTCCTTTCCTGTATTTTCTAACTTTATTTTTTAAATAATGAGACTATATTATTTTTGTATTTAGAAACAAACTCCATCTAACTCATCTATCCTCAATAAAAGTATGCCTTAACCTTGTATTTACGTAAATAGCTCATTCATTTGAGATCTTTCTGTAAAGTTAGTTATCTCTACTCATTTAACTTAAACTTGTCAAGCAGTTCAGCACACTGTTGTTGAATTAAAAGAGCTTTCTACAGTGCCCTAAAGTCAAGGGTAACAAGTACATGGTACTAAGAACTTCAATTTGAATAATGGAATGAAAGCAAGAAAAAAAAATAAGTTTTTAGTAATTGAAGCGGTTTCACCACTTTAATATACTTTATTCACTTTACTGCACTTGGATTTATAAGCATAACAAGGCTGTGCCTTTAGATTACCTGAGGTGATTGAGCAGAGGCTGAAGTCTTTCATCAGACTGCACAGCAGGCAAGGACCTGGCTGTTAACTAAAAGCAGGGAAGAAAATTAGTAAAAACAGCAAAGGCCGAACACCGAACATATTTGAATACTAAATGTAAAACGAGCTGAAGGGCAAATAGGGAGGCAATACTTAAAAATATAAGGTTCTATTTCTCTTTTTTCAAATCAAGAAATTATATAAAAACCTGACACATTACATGATCAAAGCTAGCTACATGGTTCTAAGGACATAGGGTATGTCACTAAGTTTAAAAGTAAAGAAAAAGGTGAGCAAAACAGAGAGTAAAAGGGAGTGTCCTGAGTTCATGAAAAAGCATTCACTTATGAGACTATTATCTTTGTAAATAAAAAAGGAAAAACTTCTAAATGTAAAACTGTATAACAACCTATCTTGTAGCACCGAGTCCTAAGATGATGAATAAATTGGAAAGATAAATTCTGATTTATAGCTAAGCCACTGTGAAACTGGTTACATACAGAAGTGTATGTACTTTATTCTGTCAGCCACATGACTATAAGGAACCAAGGATATCTTTTAAGTATACAGAAGCAACTCAAAGTATTTAATATTGAAATATGACCTCAAATTGAGCTAGGAAATAAGAAGTCAGAGCCAATACTGTGTACCAACTTGACAGCATATCATCAAAATGTGAATTTATGATCTATTTTATTACAATAATATTAATTATATAACTATGTATCTCTATTTTCTTCTCTGTTCTTAAGAGAATGCCTTTTTAAAAGAATTTGACACAAGGAAATTAACGACATTCTTTCAAAGTAATCAGATAGCTTGAGGTAAACTTAATAAAACATCAAAACAAAAATAAAAGATAAATCTCTTCAAGATTCAATTATGATCAAAATGGTTCTCATATTTTACTAATCAATCATTTAACAATTCACGAAAAAGAACCTTAAGACAAGCAACAAACTGAAAGATATCTTTTGGGTTTATATAGTGTATGCTCTCTTTTTAATTTTTTTCATACATTAATTACAATTTCCTAAAAATGGAAAACATTTAATTCATCAAATCTAATTTTTATATTATGCAAATAAAACTATCATCTAAAAATATCTTTTATATTTTTGAAAAAAAGTTGACCAAAGTGCCATATTCTAATAATAATGGAGAAGCTTTCCCAATTTTGTACAAGAGTCAACATGTCGACAGTTACTAATTTAAAATACAATAGAGACAATTAATCTGCTGCAATTTTAGCACAATCAACAGACTTTCAGTATCCCTGAAAAATACTAAGTATTAAAATACTAAGTACTAAGTATTAAAAAAATACTAAGTAACATATATGTAACATATAAGATGTTATCAAGGTTATCAAATTCTATAAACAAAACACTTTAATACTTTAATACATCCTTTATCTGTTAATGTCAAATCCTGTTACAAAGTGCCATTTTCATTGTTCAAAAGATTTCATGTCTCAGAACCAAAGCTGTGTTCTAAAACAATTTAAATGATTTATCTAGACATTTCAAAAGTCAGTGCTCTGAAAACAGAGCGGACAGAGTGGGCTTTTTCAGTCACTTCTGTCAATCTATATAGTATGCTTTCTAATAGAGGCAAACGAAAAACACCTCAGTAACAGCAAAATATTCTAGACATCTGTTAAGTCCACATAGGAAAGATTTTCACATCTACCCCTTCATCTTAATTTCAGTCTTCATTTCCTTTTCCCTAAACTATTAATACATCTCCACTGTTGTTTCTGCTGCCATTCTTGCCCCTTCCCTAATTTATACCAAGGTCAGAGTGAAATTTTCAAAATGAAAATTAACCACACCCCTAATTAAAATCATGTAGTAATTCCCTCTGGCTCCGAGGGTAAAGTTATTACATCAGTCTTTCATCAGACATTTTCTTAAAATTTTCCTTTTAGGCGGCATTACTGAAACAATAGGCACAGAATGATTGACTGACTATACAGCTTCTGCCAATTCCACAAAACACAATGACAGCACATCAGGTAGAAATTTTCCATAGCTCCAGTTTTCTGGAACACATGTGCTCGATGATTTGAGTTCTCCCATCCTCCCCTTCCCACCTCCAACTTACTTTCGAGATTGAATCTCTGGCAAGAATGATTCCTAAACCAGGGAGAGGCCAATGCTCTGAGTAAAATTATTTCAAGGAAGATTTCTGAGTTTTCCAAAGGTTTTCTTTTCAACTTTTAAAACAATTAGCATTTACAAAAAGAGCATGCATCTCTTCATGTTAAGGATATGAAATAATAAAGCTATTCCAAAGCTCTTTAAAGTGGCAAACCCATCTGCTAACCTTTTGCTGACAGAATGCAAACTTCATTTTAGGAACTGTTGGCTCCATTTCTTCTGAAATTTTTCTCTGAGCTAACGTAGTTACTACTTACATCCACTGGACTGTGAGTGGTAACCGCATCCCTAGCACTTGCAACACAACAGATGTTTAGTTTAGCAAGTATGTAATTTCATTAATTGATAAAAATGAAAGTATATGTCTATGTTTCATAAAGCTTTTCAAATTCCTGCTTTGAGCAAAACTAAATATAAATCAAAACTAAACTAAGTAACAATTATCAAGCCTTCCAAGAAAGCAATACACTGCCACAATGAGATTTTTAGCATTTCCTCTACAACTAGAAAGCTATATCTATCCGGTTAAATCGACTTTGGCTTCCAACTATGTTTTAATTTTTTTTTCTTTTTATAGAAAACACAACAATGTACCGGACACATAAATCACCAAGAATGAAAGAGAAGGAAGATCTATCACAGTTTGCATCTGCAAAGCCTAAATGAGTTGTCTAAGTTTGGGCTATTTCATGAAAACCATCATACAATTTGGCATAACTTATAGCTTATTTCTCATTATTGTTGAAAGGTTAGGGGTGAGTTAAGATGTCCTTTCATTATTAAAACTATATTAGCCCACTGAATTAACTAATACAGTTTCCACTGTTTTTAGACAAGTATAACAGATCACTAACTCTTATATAAATCTCATTTTAAAAATTAGTATTACTGGGTAAATTTTGCCCTTTGACATCTATCTGGTTACAAAAATAATGCATTTTTACCAACTAATAATCCTCCATTAAATGCCAATAAATCAGGTGGTTACTCTAGACTTCACCACTACACAATATATCCATGTAACAAAACTACACTTGTACCCTTGTAAATCATAAAAATAAAGAAAAATGCCAATAAATGTCAAATACATTCAAAGTACAAGAGACAAAAGAGAGTCTGGAGGTGCCTGGTCCAACTTTGTCATTTTATGCATGAGGAAAGCAGGTTCCTCAGGCCATAAGCAACTAGTTGCTGGCATGGCCAGAAGCCTTCACCTAATCTCAGAGCACTTCTGTCTCCTTTGAGTCCCTCACCCCTCAAAACAGGACAGCACTATTCAAGATTCACTTTACCTCACAGATTTTCAGTCTTCAAGATTCCCAAATTTTTTCATGGAAAATTTCTTCACATCATTTGGGATTTGGCTCAAATATCACCTCCTCACAGAGGCCTTCCCTAACCTTTGGTAAAGAGTAACTGATGCTTTACCAAGGGTTTAGAATTTTATTTCTCAAGATATACTATAACACGCACCACCAAAAGACTGACAACAACATAGTTCCTTCTTTTTTTTTTTTTTAAGACAGAGCCTTGCTTTGTCACCCAGGATGGAGTGCAGTGGTGTGATCTTGGCCCACTGCAACCTCCAACCTCCGCCTCCCGCATTCAAGCAATTCTCCTGCCTCAGCCTCCTGAGTAACTAGGATTACAGGTGTGTGCCACCATGCCCAGCTAATTTCTGTATTTTTAGTAGAGATGGGGTTTCACCATGTTGTCCAGGCTGGTCTCGAACTCCTGACCTCAAGTGATCCACCCGCATCGGCCTCCCAAAGTGCTGGGATCGTACACATGAGCCACTGCACCCAGCCATAGTTCCTTCCTTCTAATCTATGTCTCTCTGATTTTTGGTGGAGGGGGCTGGGTCACTAAATGATTGTTAGAAATAAAGCAGAAATATTGACTAAATCTATACTTTCCCAACAAAGGTTTGGTAAAGCAGTAGGTATTCCCTAACCCTTCGTAAAGCAGCAGGGTATTCTAGCTATTACTCAGGTACCTCACAACATTTATCACTATCTGAAATTGTCTGATTAATTTTCTTACTGTGTCTTTCTCTCATCACAAGAATATAAGCTCTGTTAGGGCAGGAACCTCTTCTATCTTGTCATCACTTTCCCCCGACTGCTTAGAACAGCCCATGGTATGGCATGCAGTATATACTCACTAAGTTTTGTAGAGTGAATGTAAGGTTTACCCCTCTGAAATATTTCCAACAGAGGCATAAGTTTAGAAAAGTCTGCCCTAGACACCGATCCTTTTGATCTTGTATTTCTAACTGTTTTCATTAGTAAACATGTCCTATCAGGTAGAGGAGTCATACGCGTTTCTCTTTTCATTTCCAGCTAAATGGAATATCCAAGTCCTTCTGTTAAAATGAGGGCAAGTGCACTACCCTGCAATGTAGTTGAAACTGTGACCTCCTGGTTCAAAAGAAACAAGTAACCCAAAACTAGCAGTCCAAAACTCAAATTATGGATTGTCAGCTGAAAAATGATGAGGTTCATAAATCTGGAAAGAGAAGCTTTATTTCTCATAAAGGGTTGCAGCCTGCCGGATGGCCATTCTGATAGACTAGGAAGTGTAGCCTCTGCCCAGAAGCCAGAAACAGACACTTTGAGGGAGGAGCAAAGGAAACAGGAATTTATGCTGAACAGGGTAGCCAAATACACATATTTAATAAGCTATAGGAGGAGTCATGAATATTTATGAGAGGAGAAGCATGCACACATGCAATTAAGGTTCACGTCCCTTCATGAGTCATGTGTAAAAAAATGGCGGCATTAGCGTGATCCAAAGGTGGAGCTTTCCGGCATCGGATAGTGAAGCAGAGAATATGAAAACCCTCACTGCGCATCCTCCATAGACTGGCCTGAACCACTCTGTAGTTAGTAGTCTCTTGTCAGGAGGGAATGTTGGTAAACTGTTGGGTGGAAACTGCAAAGGGAAGGGTGAGCATCAGGTGGTTGGTTGATATCAGGGATGGAATGAGTCTTTCCTGAGGGCTCATTTCTGTTTAGCCTAATGGCAGTTAGCAAGGGATGGGGCATAATGAGGCATGTCCAACCTCCCATTCCATCATGGCTGGGAACTCAACTTCCAAGGTTTCTCCAGGGTTCCCTTGGCTGGGGGGCTTAAAATTTTACTTTTATTTCTTAAAATATGCTATAACAGTCACTACCAAAAGAGTGACCATGACATAGTTCCTTCCTTCTAATCTATGTCTCTCTGGTTTTTGGTGGAAGGGGTTGGGTCACCAATTGATTGTTAGAAATAAAGCAGAAATATTGGCTGAATATATATTTTCCCAACATTATTAAAAATTTCAAACACACAAAGTTCAAAGTCGTTTACAGTGAACAGCCATTTAAAAGAACAAAAAAGCCTAACCAGCCAAGACTGAGACTGCTTCAAAAATTTATATAAAGTAACTAAGGAACAGACAGTGTAAATATGACTCTATTCAAATAAGACTCAGACCAATGTAAAGAAATAGCCTTTGTTATTTAAATCACAATGCTAAAATAAAAGTGTGTGTTTAAACACCTTTCAAGATATTATTGCTAAATAAATAACTTGTAGTTCCTGGTAGGTTAGTTATTTTGAAAGAGAGTCCAAAATATCTGTCTCAAAACACCCCTCCTAAAAAGGACATAAAGTTTTAAAAACACTGAAATCCAGCCAGGCACGGTGGCTCATGCCTGTATTCCCAGAACTTTGGGAGGCCAAGGCGAGTGGATCACCTGAGGTCAGGAGTTTGAGACCAGCCTGGACAAGATGGTGAAACCCCATCTCTACTAAAAATACAAAAACTAGCTCGGCGTGGTGGCGGGCGCCTGTAATCCCAGCTACTCAGGAGGCTGAGGCAGGATAATCGCTTGAACCTGGGAGGCAGAGGTTGTAGTGAGCAGAGATCACACCACTGTAGTCCAGCCTGGCTGACAAGAGCAAAACTCTGTCTCCAAAAAAAAAAAAAAAAAAAAAAACAAAACTGAAATCCAATAGTAATAATAAGGTAAATCTACTCAAATATAGAAAAATCTGGATATAAACCATGCTTGTCATATCTTTTCAAGAGTAAAGCAAACAGAAAATATTTTTTCTTTTTAGACTTCCCTCTTAAATTAGATCTGTTTAATATAGCTAAAAATAAACTTGATCAGGATGGAAAAGGTAATTGTTAGAATTACATTCTCTATTCAATAACACTTTTTAACAAGTGGGGTAGGAAGCAATTTTGGTTGCACGTAGGAAAAGCAAGAGGAAAGGAGACTAGGGAGAGTGAAAGCTTTGGTTTTATCAAAGATATTCTCATCCTTTCCTTGGATTCAATGCAAGAAAGTTCTGAAGCAAATACAACCCTCTAAATTTATGCCGAGGAAGAAGTAAAGCTCTGGAGACTGAATCACTTAACATGTTTGCAATTCTGTTTCTTAGATTTTAGCTTATCTCTCTTTTCATTGTATTGGTTCTGTAAATAACTAGGAGAGACCAAACCTCCCTGCTTCCAATCACTGACCTTTGTTACAGATTAACTGGCCTTCTTTATTGTCCTTACCTAACTCAGACCAGATGGCACCCAAGACTCCATGACAGTTACATCTTCAATGTGGAACGTTAAATATCTTTCCAGAAAGAAAAAGAGCGCCTTAACTAATCAAATCATTGTAAGTATGCATTAAGCCTAACATAGAAAGATGTTAAAATTGGGTTAAACTTCCCTACGTTTTGTCTATATAAGCAATCCTATGCTTTTACACTTTGGAACACTGCCTTCCATTCTTTGGAGTCTGTGTTTCCCCTGTGGCTAGTCCAAACTTTTTGCTTGAGTAAACCTTCTTTCAACTAGACTCTGACCCTTTTGATTATTTTAGGTTGACAATATGTCGACACTGGTTAATTCCTAGAGGTAAATACACGAATGTTCTACTATTTTGCATACATTTGTGTTTGCAATAGTTCAAGAGAGGCAGAGAGTGAAAACTGACTTATTTTCTAGCAGGGTGAGGAACGGCTTGGAGGAGAGCAAACTAAAGTAGAGGCAAAGAGGTCAAAAGGGTGGCACATGCAGTGATCTAGGGATCCAAGATGAAGAGCCAAATTATGGCAGAGGCAATAGCGACAGAAAGGAAGACATGTACATAAGAAATATGTAAAGGTATGCTCCACAGAACTGACTGTCAGAGAAGGGGAAGATGGAGAGGACGTGCAGGTAGGTAGATAGTTCTATCAGCTGCAAGACAGTGGCTACAGAAGAGGAAGGTGGGAAATGAAGGAAAATTGTAAGTTTCATTTTAGGCATGCTGAATTTGAGGTGCTTTCAACTAACTAAGAGGTAACTAAATATATATGGATGTAGAGATCAGGAGAGATTTACATTTAGATTTAAGTGTTATCAGCAAATAAGTAGCAGATAAAGCCATGAACTGGCTAAACCTTCCCATATTATATGCATAAAACAGGGATGTCCAACTGTCATTAACTAGTAGCTCATTAGAGCAGTATGTTGAGGGTTCATTCTGTAGAGAAGAAAAAGTATTATCTTTCTTTCCCATCACTAGGTTCATGACTGAGAGTCCTATAACAAAAGACAGATTAACAAGAGTAAAGCATACAAATTAAAGTTTTATGTGATGTGGGAGCCTTCATAAATGAAGACCCAAAGAAACAGGGAAACATGTGTTTTTTATGGACAGTTGTGCAGAAGTATGACTGAAGGACCAAAGGGTATAGTCTAATGGTAATTAACTGGGGGGAACTTAGCAAGTCCTGTTTGTTCAGAATATTCTCTTTGTCCCTGTGTCTTCAGAGATAAGACAGGTTTGGGAAGGGCATATCTCTAATGAAGGTTTTATAACCACCTCAGGAGGAGGTTGACTAGGGTTTATGGCCTGCTTCAGAAGAGAAGGAGCCAGGAGAAGGTGAAAATGACCTCCTTGTTTCTGTTGTTCCCTCAAGAAGTATGTCCTAAATGCCATCAGTTACAAGCCACATCAAGGAAACAGTACAGATTGAAATGTCTGCTCTGGATAAGGAATGGGAGATTAGAAATATCTGTCAGGCATGTGCCATTCTTAGCTGGAACAAGAAATTTTGCCGATAGACTTGAAGTTGTGTAACATTGATTTTAAGCAATTATAGATTAGTTAGAAAGCGTAACCAGTAGCTCCTATAAATCTTGTTGTACATCTAGAATAAATGAATTTCACTTTGTGAAAAAATGTTCCTCTGCCTCCAGCTATGAAGCTGACTGTTGCTCTTAAAACCCCCTAAAGGATATTCTGCTGTTAGCCAATTGCTATTTTGAAGTAGAATTGTTTGAAAGGATTGAAAAGGGCCTGTAGGAAGAACATATTTTTCATGATTTTCTTTTTCAAATGATGAGCACGAAGGGAGGGAACAAGAATACACAAGGAGGTAAATACGTAAGCAAATATGGTAAATGGTTCTTAAAGAGTCAACAGACATTTTAAAAGCAAAGGTGGCCCAATCTGTTGAAAATTAAGAACAAGAGGGTGGCTTCATTTTAAAATAATAAACCCCTTCTCTGAACTGTTCACCCAACACTGGTGAAATCAAAACACATAAAAATGACAGGAAAACAATGCTCACTTGGAAAATATTGCTCAATTTTGTTCTCTGGTGTTTTTACCCTCTACCACTCACTTCAGCTTCCTTACAAAAACTCAAGAGGAATGACAATTCCTCTTGAATTGTCATCAAGAAATCCAAGACAGGTAATCAGTACAATTTAGGTCCCTTGTTTTCATTTAATATTGCCTATTGAAAGAACCAGAATAGTACTCTCTTACAGTGGTATTAGGGCAGTGGCATTTATTATTTACAAATGACAAAGAGATAAATATTATTTATTATGTAAAATGACAAAGAACCAAATTTAGGTTTATTTTAATGGAAAATAAATAAGGAATATTTTTCAAAATGTCTTTGCATTCTCCTCATTTCATACAAGATTTGAGATGGCTCCTACTGCATTTTATAACTCCCAAGAGTGCCAACTCAAAATCTAGAATGCCAACACTTTTCTAGTAAATTAAAGATGCATAGGTTATGCTTATGTATGTATTCTAAGAGATAAACAATTTATAGATCAGGAAAATTTTTTTAAATAATCAAAAGGCAACAATTTATTTAAACAGACCTCACAGCAACAAAAAGATATAGCTTTAGAGAGAACAGGTTGTTCAACAGAACTATCACTTTTATTACTGGGACCAAGTCAAATAAAATTAACTTTTACAAGCAGCTGCTCTTTTAACTTCATTGATTTTAACAGAAAATCCTGTGTCTTTTGAACTACATTTTCTTATAATAGCAACGGATCCCAATTACAAACCCCAAACTGTGAGATTCCACATTACATTTCCCCTTGCTCCTGGAACCAAATTTGTTCTCCAGTTTCATGTTCTCCCTTGGCAGGCTGAGATGCTGTTCATCACTAATCATAACAGTCTAGTGTTCAAATGCCCACAGCACTTTTTGGTTTCCACAGGGCTCTCACACACATTATTTCAGGTGATCTTCACAACAGAGGTGGTTTCATCACAACAATGCTTTGATACACGGAAATTTCTCTATCAGCTGGCTGCAAACATGATTTTCAATATGTAAGCTCTAAAAAGCAACCAACGACCTTGTCAAGCAAAACGCATAGATTCCATTTGAGCTCTAAACATGCCCAAGTAGTTTAATTTCCAAAGAATATTAAACAGTGCAGAGTTAACAAGATATTTCCAGTTCAGGGGTCTGGATGATATGAAGAACCGAGGAAGCAAACCTGGGAATAGTGCAAGCAGACATCCCAGTGCTAATTTTTGATCATGAAACCTATGGTGTGAAAAGAAGCTTGTTATTCAAAGGCTAACCTAAGCACCTTACTGATGCTCTACATCACTTAGAAATGTAAAACAATCGCTTGAGCAAGGGGAAAAAAGGTATTAAGAGATATGCAGTGATAAATGTACATGGATCACTGACTTTTCTCCCTTGGATATTATCTCTGAGGCTCCTCAAGGCCTCTCAAACTGTTCAGCCAAAGGTACCTGGAACATTCAAGGAGGGTGAACAACAGGTGACCTTTATGCCCTAACCATCAACTTCCTTTAATGTCATATAGTTATCTTAAAAGTGTATACAAAATTTACATTTGACTCTAGAACATGTTCTTGCTTTTACTATAAATATGTTTAATTATTTTACCACTGAGTAACACAGTGCCATTGTTATCCTATGGTTTTATCTATTCCTTAGTATAGTTAGCCCCATACATTTGGCCATTTTATTACTTTAGAAAACATATTACTACATTTTTACTCCTTACAGCCCACGTGAGGTAAGTCTTTGGTGGTACAATTGAGGCTGGGAGTTGGCTGAGACAATTCTGGATCTTTTCACTGTGTCATTTCATGTGACTACCACCGTTCAGAGAGACAGAGATGACATTTTTTTAGCCAAAAATTGTTTTATGCAAAGACTCTAAAAACCATTTAAATTCCTAGATTTTTCATTCACTTAATAAATTTGTGAGGCAATAACTTAAGTTCTAAAATTCCTTATTATGATTGTATTTTCATTCATCATTTTTGTCTCCTAAACATCTATACCATATTTACCTAAACATACATTTGTCAATTTCTTATTTAATGTAAGGAAATAAATGCTTATCTAGGTTTTCCAGAACCAAAACTGTTCCTTTACTGTTTATTGTAAGCATGAATCTTCCGCAAAATCTTATTATGTGGAAGTTTCTCATAGAAATTCCTGAATATGCACATAAATTCTACTATGTACACTGGAGTTACCGACCGTATCTACAGGCTTCTAGTAAATGTTTAAAAGAGGGCCCAGACTGAATTAGTGGGTTTCATAGTGCATGTTGTTTATCTTCTGTCAGCAGTATAGGCCATGATTCCTTTAACTTCCTGCTGAGCCTATTTCCAGACATATAACCTGCCCATTACACTGGCAATCTTACCATTTTACCTAAATATTACTAAACAGTGTACCACTTTTTGCAAACATTAAAGATAATCTATTCTGCACTACACTTAAATACATTCTTTATTAAGTAATCTAAAATCAGTGTCAAAGATCCACAATTATATTAATTACCAAAGTGAAGAGACACAGAAAAGACATGTATATGTAAATATACACTATCATTTTCTGCAGGAACTCTTTTTCCCCCAATTTGGACTTTCATTAACATTTGGGAATGGCTATAAAACAATTCAGAGTGGGCTGGGCGCAGTGGCTCAAGTCTGCAATCCCAGCACTTAGGGAGGCCCAGGCAAGAGGACTGCTTCAGCTCAGGAGTTTGAGACCAGCCTGGGAATATAGCAAGACTTCATCTCCACTAAAAATAAAAATAAAAAAATCAGCCAAGTGTGGTGGCACGTGCCTGTAATCCCAGCTACTCGAGAGGCTGAGGTAGAAGGATTGCTTAAGCTCAGGAGATCAAGGCTGCAGTTAGCTATGACTGTACCACTACACTCCAACCTAGGTGACAAAGCAAGATCCTGTCTCAAAAACAAAAACAAAATGAAACAACAAGGCAATGGGGAGTGGAGTGTAGGAGGTGGACAAGATATTATTACTAATGCCTCAGTGATAATAATCTGTTGTGTAACAAAACATAGTCCTTGGAAATGCACTTGAAGAACTGAAGAGCAAGTAATCAACAAGAATACATAGAGATTTCCATTTCCCCAACAGCTGAACCTCAAACCACTGATCCAAATGTATAATTCAAAGACGGTAGCCTCAGATGGCTAACAACATACCTCTAATGTTTATGTTAACAGATGCTGCAGAAAGTATTCATTTGCTTAGTACTTCAGCTACTTTTCCTTGGCTCTGTGACTTAATTTTCTCTGCTCTCTTAGAGCACAATGATGTCTTCCTCGATAGACATCTTGCCTTTGTAGATGTTGAAAATGTTTTAAAATATAGAACAGCCCAGTGTGCCTCTACATCTCACTCACAGTTTATTTATCTAACTGAAATAATCAGATACTGCACTATTTTTGGACTCATTCGGTTTAGTTTAAATTTAAGCTATTTTCTTTATTCATAAACTAATACTACAGTTTTTCTTTAAAAATAAATGAGACTGTTACACAATTTTGTTGCTCTACTAAAGGATTTTTATTTTTAAGCCCTTCTAAAAGGAGCTTCTTAAACTATGTGACTAACTTCAGTTACACATAAACATGTTTTGCCTATTAAAACTAGAGCCTTGTGATTAATTATAAAACTTTCCTAATTATATTTAAAACAAAACAGAAGAAGTAAATAATTTCCGTTGCTAACAGACAAAAATCAATAGAAACCATTGATTATGAAATGAAAATAGAAAAGTATAATGTCTTCACTGTGATAAGCACATTTATGTCAATTGGAAATTTCACCTCAGCCTCTGATCCAACATTACATAGGATGCATTTCACAAATGTTTAATTCATCACAAATTTAGAGACAAAACTCATTATTGAGGATGTTGGAAGGAAAATGAAATAGACATATTTTGAAATGTTGTAACAAACACATCAGGGTTGTTCCAAATCCTTTTTCCATCTCCTTTTTATTTTCCTTACAAAATTAGGAATCATCACAAGTAGCCACCTAGATCACTGATGTCTTCTCATTTCTAAATTCATAGAAGTTTCAAATGACACAGAATTCCTTTAACAACACAGAAACCCCTGAATTTAATGTATTAATACCAGTAAAAATATAAATCAGTTCCCTGTTAACTTAGGTCACCTAGTAAATCAAATTACATGCAAAATCCCATTCTTACAAAAAGTAGATATTTTTCTTATTCTTTGTTTCCTTTAGGTTACTACATTTTTCTATCTCCTTTTAGATTAGAGACAATAATTAGATTCTACGGTAAAGAAAAGATGCTGGTCTAAAAGTGAAAAAACCCTTACCTGCTTGCATAAGTTTTTTAAAAAACAATGTAGCTATTATAACAACTGCCTATTTTTCTGACTGCCCAAAATGATGAGCTGCCACTTTCGTGATGGAATGGACCCTAGCTAATACCATACTGCAAGCAGGAAAGGTGTAGATTCTAGACCACTGTGACATACTATTATCTGTACCTGCCCTATTCTACTCAAAGTACCAAGGCATAAAATCAAGAGTCAGGGTAAAGTAAGCATGTTTGGGGATACACTTCCTAAGAGTAATCATTTTAATATATCATATTTGTAAAATGCTCTTTGATATCAGAACAGCTGGCTGAGACTTTTAAGTGACCTTGACATACAGTTGACTGACTGCTTTCCAATAACATTATTTCATACTTTCTGGCACAATCACACTGATAGTGTTTGATGGATAACTAGACAAGCAAAGGACAAGTCTGAGCAATTGCCATCCTTTATATTTGACGTCTTCATGTTTCATTACACATCCTAGGAAAAGGGAAAGGGAACAAAAACCCATAGGCAATGTTAGTTCCAAGAGGTCTCAATACACACAGGAAGCCCCAAATAGTATTATTTTGAAGCAGCCACAATCTTTAAATAAAAATGCACTTTGTTGCAATTAAAGAACCACCAACAGTTATACAACTAGGAAGAGGGAGAGATTTTCATCTTGCATGTCTTAGTTAAATTTTGTTTTCTTTAGTAAAATGTTTTGAATGAATGGTCACAAGATCCTCTGGACAAAGCACAGAGCACCAAATGTAAAGCTTGATTTTCCTGTTCTGCTATTTGTGCCTGATTTATTTCCCCCTCAGTTTATTTTAATCAACTTTTAATCATCAATTTTATTTAATCAAATTAATGCCAGCATGAATTAAAATCTGTCCTACTAAGATGCTTCAACAGTGCTCTCATTTGAACTATCAAAGAGTTCACATTTTAAAGTCAACTACCAAAAAACACATGTATTTGCCATAAGTTGCCACTGATTTTTTTAATTACATTAACATTACCTAAAAGTACAGTAAATATTTTTGGTTAAAGACATATAGTAAACATATGGGCAACAAAGGACTTAAGGAAACAGGACATTTACAACAGTAGGCTGTGACTTTTCACCAACATTCTAGCTGCAGGTCAAGACATGATTTTTTGGCCCCTATGCAAGGCAAGAATGAAGATGCTACTCACTAATAGGAGCAAGAATAAATCTGGAAGAAAAACTAAGATTCAGTTTTGTCCATGTTAAGTCTGAACTGCTTGTTAAGCATCCAGGCAGAACTATCTGGACTTAAGAAAAAGCTGTAGAAATCAATCGATCAATCTCAGAACTTTTTGTAGATTTATGTGCTTTGATGTAATTTCTATCCTTAAAACTAGAGCAAACATATAATGTATTGCTGTATTAATGCTTTTTATTACAAGCTATAATAGATACAAGTATCACTTGCTACAGAACTATCCAGTTCTACAAATTCTTAATAAAATGGAAGTCTTAAAGGCAGTTCTTAAGTTGCTCAACAATTCTCAGAATATTGAACAATTATTTGCTTTAAAGATGTGCTGACAATACAGTAGCTACTAGCCACATGTGGCTACTGAGTTCTTGAAATGTGGCTAGTCCAAATTGAGATATACCATAAAATATACACAAAATTTCAAAGACTTAGCATAGAGAAAAGAATGTAAAATATCTCAATAACTTTGTATACTAATTATATATCAAAATGACAATATTTGCAATATATTGGGTTAAATCAAATAAATTAAAATTAACTTCATCCTTTTTTTTTTCTTTTCTTTTTTTTTTTTTTTTTAGAGAGAGTTCTCCCTCTGTCACCCAGGCTGGAGTGCAGTGGCACAATCTGGGCTCACTGCAGCCTCTGCCTCCTGGGTTCAAGCAATTCTCCTGCCTCAGCCTCCTGAGTAGCTGGGATTACAGGTACCCACCACCATGCCCTGCTAATTTTTGTATTTTTAGTAGAGATAGGGTTTCACCATGTTGGCCAGGCTAGTCTCAAACTCCTGACCTCAGGTGATCTGCCCGCCTCGGCCTCCCAAAGTGCTGAGATTACAGGTGTGAGATCAGAAAATTTTAAATTACATATGTGGTTCACATTTCTATTGGACAGACTTCTGTCCGGTACACAAGCAATAATAACATGATATTTAAATGAATTAAAATCTAGGAGCATGAGGACATGTTGAAAGGAGTTAGCCATCTTGCTTTAGGCAGACAGTAAGGGAAGGGTCCCCGGACAACCTCCGACACGCCCCACAAGTGTTTACACCAGATGTTTTGTGCAGGTAAGGGAACTTACAGAGGGGGCTTGCCTAAACATGCCCGCAGTAGAAAATTCCATTCCTTAACACATGCGCAGCACAGGAAATAAATCCATATGGAGCGGCTCAAACTAAGGGGCCACATGCACACTGGAAGGACTGGGTGGAGCTGCCAGGAATTGGCATCTTATACAAATAAGGAACCCAGCCTCATCAGCTTTTAAATAAAAGCCCTGGTATTCAACTGTGAGGGGGCATCCAGCAACCTGCATTCAGGACCCCTCTCTTTGCTGAGAGCTTTCCTTTTGCTTAATAAATTCTACTCCAGTCAATCTCTGGTGCCTGTGAGCCTAAATGTTCCTGGTGGTGAGACAAGAAGCCAAAACTAGCTGAGCTAAAGGAGCAAAAATCCTGCATCAATGTGATTAAAAATCATTTATGTTATATGTTATTGTTAGAAAATCATCTATTTCATTGTATCTATGGCTGCAAAAGCACGTTTCTAAAAAATACATACTGTAATATGAGATCAAAGAAAACAGCATGTACACACTCCCAAAAGTAAAAAGAGATGTATCTCTTTAATGAAAATGCTAGTAACTTCTCCCAAATAGTTATACAAAATTACAAGGTTATGTATCATGACCTGCCACCCTGTATCTTTTTCAATCAGGAAGGTTATATAGAAAATATATCCCTTATTACGTTGAGAAATACTTTATCAAATGGAATATGAATTCATAAATTTATTTTGCAAGTTTTGAATTATACATTATATAGGTGATTTCCCTCACCTCAAATATGCAGAGTAACTGAGAACATAGGGGCTGAAAAGATAATCTGGTCTGACTCATGTTCCATATGGATAATCTATGCTATCATTCTAAAATATTTTAGATTTCTTTGGTTTTGATATTCCTAAATTTCACTACACTACAGTTTACCAGGATATGGGTTTTTCTTGTCTTTCATTCATGATACTCTTTTAGCCCTTTGAATTTGAAGTCTTTGTTCTTTCCTAATTCTGAACAATTTACCATCATTATTTATTTGAATATTTTTCTCTCCTTCAAATTCTTTTCTCCCTTCTGGGAATTCTATTATTTGAATGCTAGCACTATTATCTCTCTCCCTCCATGTTTCTTAGCTTTCTCCAATATTTTCTGTCTCTGCTGGGCCAGGTGCATTGACTCACACCTGTAATCCCAATACTTTGGGAGGCCGAGGTGAAAGGATCGCTTGAGCCCAGGAGTTTGAGACCAACCTGGGCAACATAGTGAGATGTCTCTTCAAAAATAAAAAATATATATTTTCTATCTCTGCTTTTCCTTCTGCCTCCGGAGGTCCTCAACATGATATTCAAGTTCAACAATCCACTTTTATCTATATCCATCCTATTTATCTGATTAAGCTCTTTACTTCAGGTCTTATATTTGTCAATCTAATATTCCTACTCTGTTCTTTTTATGACTTCTTGTTTGTTAATACTGCTACTATTGTCCTTTATTGCTGAATACATTTATTATGTTTATTTTTAATTATTGATCCCTCAGTTCGATAATTCTGCTTCATGAAGTCTATACTATTCCTTTTGTTATCTCCTCATATTTTCAATAGTGGCTGTACTCTCCATATACTTATTTTGGCTTCTGGGATCATATTCAACACAAGCTATGAGCTACTAGGTCTAGAAACATACATGAAAAAAATGGCCAAAACACAAGTCCTAGTACTGTCTGTCTTGGTGAATTTGAGAAGGATGGAAGGGATGAGCCACTGGCAACAAAAATCTCTCTTGATCACTCCAGTTTGCTGCCTACCACCAGGAAACTCCTTTAAAATGTAAATCCTTTAAAGGGTAACTCTTTTAAAGGGATTAGCCTTTAAAGTCCCAGAAAGAAGCAGCACTGGAAGAAGGCAATCTCAGTAGGGTATAATCTGCGCGCTCCAGGAGGAATCAGTGCCCTGGGGCAGCTGGTTGGCTTGTACCCGTTTTCATCAGCTCCTCACCCCATCAGCCTTTAGTGCTGCCCTGAAATAACCCAACTAACACCAATTTCTGTGGCAAGGGGCGGGCAATCGTTGTCTCAAAGCAATTGGAGAAAGTCACATCAAACCTCAAACCTCAAAGACAAAAAAAAAAAACAAAACAATTTTGCTTCTCCTGATTGATGCCTCAGGACACCCTGCGCCCTACACGAAACCACATACACAGGCATACCAATTTGCAACAGCCTCAGTCACCCCTATAATTTTTCATAGTTATTTTAGGTATTTCCTCAGATCTCTGCTTTCCTCTTACTTCTGTAGTTTCTCCATGGTTAGTTTTGGGAGAAGGAGCCAACAGCCTATATTAACTCTCCATCTTGACAGAATCCCAAATAAGTTAACAAAGGAACAGCTCCCTGTGCTACAGTGTAGGAAATAGCTGAGACTACAGGTGCCCGCCACCACGCCCAGCTAGTTTTTTGTGTTTTTAGTAAAGACGGGGTTTCACCATGTTAGCCAGGATGGTCTCGATCTCCTGACCTCATGATCTGCCTGCCTTGGCCTCCCAAAGTGCTGGGATTACAGGCCTAAGCCACTGCACCCGGCCTAAATAATCTAACACTTTTAAAACACCACACATACTCTTAAAAATGCAAACAAATCTCAAATCCAGTTGCCAGACTAATAACCAATAATTAAGAATAATTCTTAAAACAGAGAACTCTGTTATACTCCTAAGCATGAGACGTTTCAGTTACAGCTTAAGGACCCTTGGGAAGCCCACTCATGTGCAGCCTGTGGCCCCTTGCACAGCCACATAAGGATGTGCCTGGGCCTACATTTCCTTATAAAGAGATAGAGTTCTCACAAGCTGTACTGCACATATCTCTTAGGGACTGTCTTTCCCTGTTCTGGGCTGGAGGTTTCTTTCTTTGTTCTGTTTAAGCATGTGCATCATATAGTACCTGGCCAACCTCACTGCTATATCTGGCAAGGAGAGAACAGGGTTGTTCATCTGTAGCATGAGGGGATGAGGGCACACCCACAACCTCCCTGCCTTGGCTGCAGGGTGAGACCCGCTAGACATGGCAACCAACTCACTACTGAAGCTGACTTTGCCACCTCTTCTCTATGTGAGTAAAGTATTGTTCCATCCACAGCCTGTGTGAGTCATGTATCTCTTCAGGAATCCAACAATTGCAACCATGTGGTGGGCTGACATCCTGGGACTGCTGCTCCTGACAGTAGGTGTTGTTATGCTCCTTGCTGTCCTCCACACAGTGGGACTCCTCCCCTGAAGGTGGTAACAGGTCTCACTTGCTCAGTAAGTATAAAAACATTCTCAGAATCATTTCTCAGTAAAATTCCAAGTGACTACTTAATCTACATTCTACTTTTGAACTAATTACAGTTTCTACTGCCAAAAAGGCCCAGCTTTGAAACCCTGGTGTATAGATTAAAGTTTTCCCAAGAACACTGCTCCTGGAGCAGACTACTTTGCAGATTAAATATTAGGCGGGCAGGCTGTTGCTAAGGCAATAATCCTGGTAAATATGGTTGGCTGGGATTCCAACCAACACCACCAGAAAACTTATTGGCCATTCATTCTAGTGGGGTTCTCCTTTTCCAACCTCTTTCAATATAAAATCAATATTATGCATGCTCTGATTGTACTCAGAGATTACATACTAGGGACTTTAATATAAATAAAACTGAAAGGGGAATTCAGAAGTCAGATGGAAAGAACATAGTAACAAATGATGTAAGCCTGAGTTGAAGGTCAGACATGCCTGAGTTCAAATCCTAGCCCTTACTAGCTATATGACCTTTAATTCATTCCTTAGTGCCTCAATTTCCTCATCTGTAAATGAGGGCACTAGTCCCAATTTTACACAGCTACTGTAAACTAAACTTTACTGTATTAACTAAAATTAATAAATGAAGGGAACATATAAACAGGCCTTCAACTATATATTCAACAAATATGCATTATATAAAACAATGGACTATGTGCTAAAAGCTAGTGGCTGCTGCTAGTAACAAACACTACTAAAACTCCCACCATCACCACTACTATCACTTCTCCTATTTCGAATTAATTGACTGAGCTTCACTCAGAATTAACATGCTTACCCTAGAGACAATTATTTTAAGAGTACATTTACAGAATCCTCAAATTATTTCAATCCCCAATGTGTTCAATTTGCTTCTTTAAAAAAAAATCAAATTATCTATCGCCATATGGTTTTTAGTAAAATGTTTCTTCTGCAAGTTAAATGTGTTTGCTTCTAATTATTTCTAAATGTAGTGCTTGTAGTACCATAAAAATAATTTTGAGATCCAAATTTCATTGATCAGGCCAGGGGCAGCGGCTCATGCCTGTAATCCCAGCACTTTGGGAAGCCAAGGTGGGAGGATCACTTGAGGCAAGGAGCTTGAGACCAGCCTGGGCAACATGGTAAAACCCCATCTCTAGTAAAAATACAAAAATTAGCCAGGCATGGTGGCATGCACCTGTAGTCCCAGCTACTCAGGAGCCTGAGGCAGGAGAATAGCTTGAACCTGGGAGGCACAGGTTGCAGTGAGCCAAGATCACACCACTGCACTCCAGCCTGGGCAACATGGAAGTTTCCATCTTCTTGTCCATCTTTAACAACATGAATATGTCATAGAAGATGGTAAACTTGAAGACACTGATTCAAAATCGAGTGCTTATTCCAATTAAATTTAATATTAAACAAGCTTATTAGAAGTCATTTTTGTTGTAACTTTCTAGGGGAATTGTTAGAACTTGACTAGTAATCTTTTAAATTGTTTTCCTGATGTAACAATGACTATAAAAATTCAAGGGCTACATAAAAGTCACCAAAAATAAACATTAAATTCTTTTGCCATTCATCACACAATTTTCTCAACTGCTTTATTTTCTGAATATGAAAAACAAATCCTTATGCTTCACACTAGAAGAAATCAAATGTACACTCTATGTAAGGGGAAAAAAGATTAAGGCTTTTATATAAATAACCAACCACAGAAATATTTATTGAGTGTCTACTCAATTTTCATCCATTTTCCCCAGACATGAATCTCACCAAGCCAAGTTGTTACACAATAATTCCTATGTCAATGCTAGTTATCTAGCTGTTTTCCAAGGTCTCATTTCTGATGCCTAGGTTTGCCATTTAATGTGAAATATGACTGGCTGAGCTATAAAGATGATATAACTGTTGGGGGAGTTGAACATGCCATATATACTGGACACATCAGGAATGTGTTCACTGTTCTCAGCATCCTCATGAAGTTCAATCCGCCCATCTAGAGCCTCTGCTCAGGCAAGGCCTCACTTTCCCTAAGGACGGATCTGTGACTAAGAACATAAGGCTTCAGATTATCTGCTTTCCGTGGTCTTCCTGCCTCCAGCCCATTCTTTACTTTGTCATGGCAGGGTACTTGCCAAAATACAAATATGTTCCACTATTTCCTTGAATAAGTCTCTTAACCCATTCATGCCATAGGTTGCAAATTGTTTTGTGAAAAATCAGACCTTGGTGATGACCATGAGCAGGATATAAATAACCCCCACAAGCTTAGCGTTTCAATAATGGAACACTAGGCATAAATGGGTTAAATGACTCCTTACTACACAAGCTTAGCGTTCCAATAATGGAACACTAGGCATAAATGGGTTAAATGACTCCTTACTACCCTCCATATACAGTCCCAACTCTTTAGCCTGTTCTCCCTCTTTCAGCCTCCTCTTCTGTCCCATTCCTCACCTGACACTTCTTCCCTTTAGGCTATACTCTCCAGACATTCTGAACAACATCTCCTCCACTGGTCCAGCACTTCCACACCTTTACTCTTTGGAATTCCAATTCTCCTTCCACAAACACCCAATACCTCTCTCTGCCAAACACCTATTTAACTTTTCCATCTCTTAAGAACCTTCCAAGAAATTTCTCCTATCTTAACCTTAGAACTGATGACTCCCTTCTTGGCATCCCTGCAACACACACTCCTATGGCGCTTTGCACAAATCTGTTTGCTTGTCATGCTCACTCTCTTGGACTGTAAGCTCCTTTAAGGGGGAAGCCAGGGCTTGTTTAACTGTGACCCTGCAAAACACAGCATGGAGTTTTCATTCAATAAATGTCTCTGTAAAATGAATTAATTAACCTTTGTATGTAAGGAAAATGTCCTACACATGGTACACACTCGTTAAATGCCAACCAGATAAGTGGATAGATTCTCTAGCCATTGATAATGATATGTGGACTACTACAGATGCTCAGATTTCCTATAACCTAAAAACTCCTAACATATAGACACACATTTTTTTTCCGTAGCTTCTACTCTGTCTTAGAGACCTAAAATTAAAAGGACAAGAAAATGCAGTACTGCATATATCAGCCCTTTGCATAAACCAATACTTGCTCAGGTCTAATGTTAATAGTTACAAACATACATCTAACTCCGACCTAATTCACATGACCTATCTCTACCCCTTGATATTAGGCAGAACTCTTACATGGACAAAGAATAGAAACTAAATTCTAACTACCCAAAGAGGGGAAAACAGCAGTATCAAAAGGATTCCAGGTTGCAGCAGCTCACAGGATCTAAGGAAGAGTTAAGGTAAACAGGGCAAGGGCAGGGCCTCATAGAATAAAGCTAGGTACTCTGCCTAGCTCAATTTGGGTTAAGTTCAATTTGGGTCAAGCTGCCCTAGACTAACCACGGTGGCCAGAAGGATGTGAAAGTATGATTTCCCAGTCTGTCACATGTTCATGGAATCTCAATCTCTACCATGGATATTCATCCCTCTACTTATCATCCCACCTAACTAACCCATATTCAAATATCTCCTAAATAATGGCTTCATCGTAACTTGTCCTTACAACTTAATTAGGCAAGCCTGCATCCATTCAACAGTACTTATTTGAGTACTTTGACTAGATTACTCCCTGACAGTCACTATTCTAGATGCTAAGGACAGAGACATGAACAAGGCAAAGTCCCTGTCTTCTAATGGTGGAAACAAATACAAAATTGACTGTCAGATATAATTAACTGCTATAATGAAAACAATCTGGTAAGGGAGTGGGGAGTAATAAGGGAAGGTTGGGACTAAAAGGCTATTTTAGACAGGAAAAATTTATCTGAGAAGGAGACATTTGAGGAAACAGACCTGAATAAAGGTCAAAGAACTAGGGGGAAAATACTGAAGGATGAAGAAAAAGCAAATGTAAAGGGCCTAAAGTACCTGTATTTGGAGAGTCACAGAAAAACCAGAAAGGAATGGTCCATAGTAAAGGAAAAGCCAAGTTTAAGGCCCTGAAATAACAACAAAATGGTATGGCTAAAAAAGAACAAAGAAATCCTAGTTTTAAAAAATGAAATTAGGCAGACACACAGGGACCAGAGCATGCTTTTGGATCACAGTTAGGAGTTGGGATTTTTTTAAATTCTGAGTGTGACAAGAAACCACGTGAGTTTCTTCTCAGTCCAAGCAAACTGAGTTCAGTTGAAACTTAGGTCTATGCCTTCTTATTCTATACTCTGGAAGAAAAAAGAAAGCGACGACAACAGCTAACAACAGCATAATCCCTACAACAATCCCTATATCTGTTACTTACTCTTTCAACATCTGTGTGAATACTGTCCTGCATCAGGCTTTAGAATCTGTTATAAAAAGGCTTTATGCAGTCATCCAAGTGAAAAGCATGGTTTTAATGTTCCATGTGCTAAAGCTTTTAGGTCTATAAAGCTCAAGCCAGGTCGAAATACTATTTGTGAATAAGCAGAATAAAGTAAATAAATTTTAGCTATAAATAGTAACCAAAATCCCATAGAAATAAGTACATGAAATAGCATGTGGTATTATTAAATCAATGAATAAAAGGAAGTAAGGCCTAGTACTATTTTAACGGCATGAGAACTATTTAATATCGTAATCATTTTAGGACCAAACTCAGGCCACTTTATTTACCCTTTTTACTCCTTCTACGTCACAATTAAATTGTCTTCTCATGGTTTTGTTTAGTTTTGACCAATACTGGCTTACATTTCATTGCAAGTTATGTAACCTTACATTTCAAAGAAAATAAATATTTCACTTTACAACAAAGGTACTTTTGTTATTTGAAATACCAGGTCTTAGTGATTGATGATCAACACTAACAACCACTCCCTCTCCTAATCAAAAACACTACATGCAATACAAGAAATGGCCTCTTCATTCACTATTCCCATTCTCTTCCTGCTGCATGTGTCTTTTCCTTCTTTTGCTCCCCAGGCCTGCAGAATTTCATAATCTACACTGAACTAACACTCATTATTAGCAATTGCCTTGCCCAGTGACCGTTTCCTCTACTCCTCATTACTGAAAAATACTAGCTTCTGGGTTATCCAAGACTCATAAAGTTTGGTTTTGGTGGGGTTTTTTATAAACTATGTCTCTTATATGAATAGTATGTTTCCATGTTCACCATAATACTTTTAAAGATAAGTTCCTTCTGGCAAGATACATGGGTAGATATGTGTGTGTCCCTTTTGTAACAACCACTGGTAGGACTATAAGACATATTGTTTATGCCGTTGGCATTCCTTTCTTGCTGCTGCTGCTGTTTGAACATTTTAATGAAAGATTGTATTGTGCTCATATCCTGAGGCTTTAATCAAAGCCATAGTTTTGGAAATAAATAATCTAGAATCACCCAAAATGTCTTATAAAAAAAATCATCCAGGCGCAGTGGCTCACGCCTGTAATCCCAGCACTTTGGGAGGCCGAGGCTGGTAGATCACCTGAAGTCAGGAGTTCGAGACCAGCCTAGCCAACATGATGAATCCCCATCTCTACTAAAAATACAAAAATTAGCCGGGTGTGGTGTCGCACCTGT
Source organism: Homo sapiens (assembly GCF_000001405.40). Classification (NCBI taxonomy): domain Eukaryota; kingdom Metazoa; phylum Chordata; class Mammalia; order Primates; family Hominidae; genus Homo; species Homo sapiens. The sequence continues at coordinate 60,376,011 of NC_000006.12, read as the reverse complement.
AATCCCAGCTACTCTGGAGGCTGAGGCAAGAGAATAGATTGAACCCGGGAGGCGGAGGCTGCTGTGAGCAGAGATGGCACCACTGCACTCCAGCCTGGGCGACAAAGCAAGATTCCATCTTAACAACAACAAAAAAATCTACTTTCCTAAGAGGATCAAGGAGACCATCTGATGCTGGTCCTCAGCCTCTCGCCTCAAAAAAATCTTTGTGTTTGGTAGACTTTTTCCTTCCCTCTTGAGTCTATAAAATATATATTTAATCTCCTTGACAAAGCTGATACTTTCTCCTGTCTCTTGATGCTATCCCTAATGTGCCCCTCACATCTTGCTTCTCTTATCAGGCATCTTTTCTCTGTAGCTTTGAGATAATTTGCTCTCACATGCATCTTCAATCTTTCACGGTACTACTGGTTCCTCTTTTCTCTTTATATAAACGTTTCTCCTGTGTTTAAAAAAAACAAAAAAATCCCTAAATGTATTGTTCACATATACACACCTTAATACCTTAAGATTTGGCCTTTGCATATACCAATGAACTGAAACTGCCCTCAGCACCTTTCTTCTGTGCTTATATTCCTCAGTCTTCTATAGAATGTCTCTGTGCTGACCACCAATGTCTATTAAATTGGTCCCCCCCCCACCAGGTTTTCTTCTGAATCTCTGATTTATATATTTCTTTTGCTTACTAGTGCTCTTCCCCAAGAAAAATATAAATTATCATCCCTCTATATTTGATTTTCAAATAATTCTAGCCATAACCTTTCTAAGCTACAGACTCAGATTTATAACTTCTTTCTGAAAAACTCAATTTAAATAACCTATCTGCACTCAAAATGACCATACTGCAAACCAAACTCATCATTTTCCCCTAAATTACAACAAAAAAAAATCCAAATTATTTTGGTCAGCAATATCTTGACCCTTTGGTCACCAGGCATCAATACCGAAATTTTCATCTTACTTTTTCTTTCCATAATCCTTCCCATCCCAGCCATGCAGACTTACCCATCATTCTTTCTATTCTAACACTGGCCACCCACGAAGCCTTCTGAAGTTCCCAACTAGACTAGTTCAACAGCTTCTAACATAACCTCCTTATCGCTTATTTCTCTCCTCATGTAAGCCAGGAAAAAATCATCCCGAATCATGTCTGTTTCTAACACAAAAAGTCTGTAATAGAAAAAGAAAGTTCAACAACATTAGCCATTAGGAAAAGGCAAATCAAGACCATAATGAGATACTACTAGATACCTATCAGAAGAGCAAAAATAAAACAGTGATGACACCAAATGCCAGTAAGAATACAAAACCAGAGTCACTCTTACATTGCTGGTGGGAATGTGAAATAGTATAGTCACTCTGGATCATCTGGCAGTTTCTTTAAAAATGAAATATGCAATTAACATATGACCCAACATTTATACTCTTGGGTGTTTGTCACAAGGAAATGAAGAAAAAAAAAAAACCCAAAAACCTATGTTCGCACAAAAACCTGTACACAAATGTTGATAGCAGCTTTATTTATAATAGCCAAAAACGAGAAATAATTCAGTGCCCTTCAACAGATAAATGGTTAAACAAACTAATACTATGCAGTGATTTAAAAAGAAGCAAACTATTGATATATGCAACAACTTGGATGGATCTCCAGGGCATTATCCTGAACAACAACAACAAAACAGCCAATCTTAAAATGTACATACTGTATGAGTCTATATATACATAACATTTCTGGAGTGACAAAATTTATGGAAAACACATCAGTGGTTGCCAGGGATTAAGGATGGGGTGCTATGACTATAACAGGGTAGAATGAGGAAAATCTTTGTAATGATTAAATAGTTCTGTATCTTTCTTGCAGGGATGGCTACACAAATTTTCACATGATAAGACAGCATAGAACTATACAAACACATATTGTACCAGTGTAAACTTCTTGGTTTTGATATTATAATATAGTTAATGTAAGATGTAATCACTCAGGCAAACTGAGTGAAGGATATATGAGAAGGACTTCTCTGTACTACATTTGCAACTTTCTATGAACTTATGATTATTTCAAAATTTTTTAAAAAGCTAAAAGTTATATAATTCCACTTATATAATATTCTTGAAATAAGAAAATAAAAGAAATGGGCTGGGTGTGGTGGCTCACGCCTGTCATCTCAGCACTTCAGGAGGCTGAGCCAGGCAGATCACAAGGTCAGGAAATGGAGACCGTCCTGGCAACACGGTGAAACCCTGTCTATACTAAAAATACAAAAACTAGCTGGGCGTGGTGACATGCGTCTGTAGTACCAGCTACTCGGGAGGCTGAGAAAGGAGAATTGCTTGAACTTGGGAGGCGGAGGTTGCAGTGAGTGGAGATCACACCATTGCACTCCAGCCTGGTGACAGAGTGAGCCTCCGTCTCAAAAAGGAAAAAGAAAAGAAAATCAGAGAAATGGAGAACAAATTAGTGTCTGACAAGCGTAGGAGGTGGGGAGTTGGAGAAAGTGAGTATAGATAAAGGGAAGTCTTGTAGTGATGGTTACATGAATCCATAAATATGATAAAATTCCTTACTCACATACACAAGTACACACAAGTGCATGTGAAACTGATGAAGACTAAATAGCTCTGTGTACTAACATTAATTTCCTAGTTTTTTTAATTACACCTAAAGTTACGCAAGATGTTTTCATTGGGGAGAACTGGGTGAGGGATACACTGGACTCCTCTATACATTTCTTTTTCAACTTCCTGTGTATGTAAAACTCTTTCAAGATAAAAAGCTTACAAATAATAAAAAGGAAGAAGAAAAACTAAATTTAAAAAGTCACAGTTTTCCACTGCTTACTAAATACAAATGTACTCAGACTTCAAGCTCCTCACACTGTTCCATACTCTTCACCTCTCCTTACTTCCAAGTGAATCTTTGCCATACTCTAAACACATGTCATGCATTTATGACTCCAACTCTCAGCCCACAAGATTCTCTCTACCTACAGCATCTGCCTAACTACCTCTTTATACTCCATCCCCATCTCTTGATAAATCTTCCTCATTTCTCAGGTGCATTTCAAATTGCCTTCTTTGCTTTCTTCATCCAGACATTCTCTCTCCTTTCCTCTGAACACTACTTACTCTGTAATGTAAATTATCGTATTCTGCCTGATACTATAGTTACTTGCTTTAGCTTCCCTTCAGACTTCATCTTGCCTACCACGCGGCTGGTGACCTTGCAATATATATTAGCTGGATTTGCAAAAGGCAAAGTAGTTTACAGATAAACAAACAACAACCACCAAAAAACCACAACACATACACACTCTTAAAAATGTTGCCAGGTCTTCATCCACTATATCCTCAGCCATCTGAGCTCCATAATGAGGACAGTGGCACATTTGAATGTTCTTTAAAGGCCACATGTGTATGGGACAATATATACAGCTGTGAAAGAGAGAGCAAACCTTTTCCCTCTGTAATACAGTAATAAGAACATTAAATTGCACTTAAAAACGTAGCTTTTAAAAATCTGCAAAGAACAGCTGGAAACTATCGCCTACTCAGACAGAAAAAATAATTAGTTCTCTCTCTACTCAGTTAAGACCTGAAAAACAAGATGAATCATAAAAGGGCTATGAATAAAAGCAGTGTACCTGTAACTTTTCCTATTCCCGTTATTCTTGAAAGAATTGTTTTAAATTTTGATGCTTTTTTTTAGTAGTCTACAACACATTAACCAAGTAATTATGGCCAATCAACCAATTTCAAATGGATTACTATATAAGCAAGTCAGTTAATGCTCAGAATTATCAACCAACACACAAATCAGTTCTGATTATCTATTCTTAATTTATGGGGTTTCTTTCCGTTTTTAGTGACTCAAAATTATATGGAATGACTGTAATAAATCCTTTTTTCCTTTTTTAGGTGGAGTTTTGTTCTTGTTGCCTAGGCTGGAGTGCATTGGCACGATCTCGCCTTACAGCAACCTCCATCTCCCAGGTTCAAGCAATTCTCCTGCCTCAGCCTCCCAAGAAGCTGGGATTACAGGCATGCGCCACTACACCCAGCTAATTTTGTATTTTTAATAGAGACGGGGTTTCTCCATGTTCTTCTGGCTGATCTCAAACTCCCGACCTCAGGTGATCAGCCCACCTTGGCCTCCTAAAGTGCTGGGATTACAGGCATGAGCCACCGCGCCCGGCCGAATGTAATAAATCTTTAACCAGAGTATCGTTTAATCGATTATCTTTCATCTTTAAGACAAGAACAGAACCCTGGAAAAAATGATAACTACTTTACAGATGAGGAAACTTAGGCTCAGAGATGTTAAAGAGCTTGTCTAAGGGAACACAGTACGCTGGCAGGTCAAGACTCAAACCCATGTCTGTCTAATTCAAAGTCAATATAAATTCTAGTGCACGGGCCAACCTAAAATCACTTGCAAATTTCCAACTAAGAAGAAGGTACTTTCATACAAAGTCAAGATTAAATAATTTTAGTAGAGTATGTTAATTTCCAAAAAACTCATATGTGTTTTTGTATGTATCAAAAAATGTACATGCAGCCAGGCACTCTGACTCTTGCCTGCAGTCCCAGCTACCCAGGAGGCAGAGGCAGGAGGAAGACTTGAGCACAGGAGTTCGAGGCTGCAATGAACTATGATCATGCTACCATGCCCCAGCACCCCAGTCTGGATGAGAGAACAAGAATCTCTCTCAAAAAAAAAAAAAAAAAAAAAAAAAAAAAAAACAAAAAACACAACAACAACTAATAAAATGAAATGTATAGTCTAAGTGTCAACGTACCTCTTTCTTACTTGTTCAACTTGTTACAAAAAATATACAGTATTTCATGTTTGAGAAAAGGAATATAGAGTAATTTTTTTAAAAGGCAGTACAGCAGGTCAAGAACACAGATAAGGGGATTAGTCAAGTTTAAGTGATCATTAACAAACTGCTTTACCTTTCTGTGCCTTAGTTTCTCCATTTGTAAAGTGAGAAATCTCTACACCTCGTAGTATTACGGGTATTAAACATACACGTTATCAGACTTACAGAAAACAATCAACATTAGCTATTACTATTGTTATTTCATTTATTTTTGTTTATATTTTAGTGCAGTGCATGATTGTGCAATATCACTGACATAGATGATCCGTTATGAACAGGGAATACTATGCTATAAAAGATGCAAACAGCTTACAACACAAATAGGGGTTATAATACTTTTTAAAAATATTGCTTATAATCACAAAGACAAACTTTGATTTATCCTTCACAGAGGTTATCATCTGGTTTTAAACAAATATGTCTTTCCTTACCAGGGTCTCCAATACTCTCACTACTACAACCTCCTGTCTACCAGTCTACCCTTAAATAAAGAATCTATAGTCTTCAACTAAAATATCAATTTAACTAAAATATCTATTACGAGTAGTGTTGTTAACAGTAGTAGTATTTAGCTAAGACATATGTGAATATGAAAAAATTATGTGTCGACAAGACATAAAAATAAATGCTCACTTAAATATTTTAAGCAACAAATGTTATAGAAATGGAAAGCATTCTGGTTTCTTGTGAAAAGTGGTAGAAAGGCTATCTTCTATGGATTTTAATTTTGCTGAATAATATTGTACGATATTTGACGTTATTAATTCTAAAAATACCTTTATACTACTTTTAAATGAATACATACGCCCCAAACTATAACTATTAAGTAGTATTTGTAAGCAATATATAACGTATCATTTTCTAAAACTAGGAATTAAATTTCATAAAACTTGGCCAGGCACAGTAGTAGCTCATGCCTATAATCCCAGAACTTTAGGAGGCTGAGGTGGGAGGACTGCTTGAGCCCAGGAGTTCAAGACCAGCCTGGGCAACATAGGAGACTCTGTTTCTATAAAACAAAAATTAAAAATCAGCTGGGCATGGTGGCAAGCACCTGGGGTCCCAGCTATTCAGGAGGCTGCAGTGGGAGGATCAATGAAGCCCAGGAGGTTAAAGCTGGAGTGAGCTGTGGTCACACTACTGCAATCCAGCCTTGGTGACAGAGTGAGGCCCAATAAATAAATCTCTTAAAATCCAACTCATTCATAAAATTCATGAGTAAAATCTGTTTTTGGTTTCTTACAGTTTATTATAAAGTTTTAAATCACATAATGAGGCTGGGCATGGTGGCTCATGCCTGTAATCCCAGCTACTTGGGAGGCTGAGGCAGGAGAACCACTTGAACCCGGAAGGCGGAGGTTGCAGTGAGCCGAGATCGCACCATTGCACTCCAGCCTGGGAAACAAGAGTGAACTCCATCTCAAAAATAAATAAATAAATATAAAAATAATCACATCATGAAATTACTTATACTACACAATATTATAACCAATGAGTCAGGGTGGCCTACAGAATTTTTAGCAAAGAGTACTATAAGTATACATCTGAAAATTCATCTTTCACAGCTGATTACGCTACAATGCAAATACAATGATGGTTACGTTGTTAATACTTTTTACATGGTATAATATTATATAACATTAATAAATAGGGAAGAATGACATGGTACCTAAAATATCTAACTGAAGCAGATGAATGGTATTTCAAAATATCCTAAAGTGAATTTCTCTTGTGGAACTGTAGTTCACTCAAGTAGCTGCAACTTGGTATTTATGTAAAGCTTATCAGGGTCTGCAGAAGCTACAAAGTGTCCCATCCATTAAATCTGCCATTAACTTAAATTCCAGCTGAATTAAACAGGATGATATTACTGCGCAATTTTGGTAGCTGAATGTATTTTACCAATTCTAAATTCTGGACAACTGGGTACTGACACTAAAATTTTTAAGTCCATGATGACCCATGACCTTCAAGAGTCCAATAAAATTTTACTATTTATTAGTTAAAACTACAATAATTCCAATAATGACTCATGTTTAATGTTTAAGTTCATGAGGGGATAGGGGCATGGGAATAAATCTGTGGAATATAGAGTGTATCTAGGACACCCAAAGTGACATCAGAGAGGTAAGGTAATGATTTTTTTAAAAAAACACAAACAAAACCACAACAACAACAACACTGACCTAGGAGTCAGGAAAACTGGTAGCCTCAAATCACAAGCAGAAACAATTCTCTCCTTCCTCTGAACCTGACTTTGCCCGTGACACACTTAGGGCACAGACACAGATTGTTTCATATTTCAACATCCCTAGAGGATCCTAAGTTCTTTAAGGAAACATGCCATGTCTTTTATGTTTGTATATATCATAAAACCTAACATAGTGTTTTGCACATGTTAGGCACTCAATAAAAATGTGATAAATGTGCAAAAGAATGAATGGTTCCATTTTAGCCATAGTCTAGCTATGCAACTTTGGAAAATCCTTGACATGCTCTGGGCCTATTATGTCCTGTATTAGTGAGGGGCAGGACGTTGGCTGTGGCAGTCAAAACAATGCTGGGAGTTTGACAAGTGAAATGCACAAGCTAGAAAACAGTCGTTATTCTGGTATATGCACACGATGAAATATCATTCAGCAGTAAAAAAGAATGGAGTACTGACATATGCTACAAAATGGATGAACCTTAAAAGTATGCTACCTGAAAGAAACCAGTCACAACAGACCACATATGATTCCATTTATATGAAATGTCCAAAATACGCAAATCTATGGAGTGGGAAAGTAGATTAGTGTTTGTCTAGGTCTGGGAGGATGGGTAGATTGGGGATGAAAGCTAATAGTTACAGGGTTTCTTTTGGGGGTGATGAAAATATTTTGAAATTGAAGTGATGGTTGCACAACTCTGTGAATACATAAAAACCATTGAATTATATACTTTAAATGAGTAATTGTGTGATATGTGAGTTATACTTCGAAGCTGATTACAAAAAAGTTGTAGGAGGAGGAAGGGAGGAGGCTAAAAGAAAATACAGTCACCAATCAAACTGTATTTATATCTGTGAGGGGAAACATATTAATTGTTCTCCATAGGCCCTTCTGGCTCGCCCTTCATGACGGAGCCTCAAAGCATGCCTGCATTCCTCAGTGCCTAGTCCACTGCATGCAAATAAAATCGGATGCCCAGAGCAGCCGATTGCCTAATGCTCAATATTGGGAGGAAAGAAACAAAGAATCTAAAGCAAATCAAGTCAATATGCTCCCCTGGAAAAAAAGAGTATGCTACCAGGAGTTCTATGCCAGTGGCAGCATTGAAGTGCACAGAGGTAGGAGAAAAGGCTGAACAGCATGGGTTAAAAGCTTGGCTCTGGTGTCTGGCAAACCTGGGCTCTCTCACACTCTAGCCTCCACTTTCTTCTCACCTATTAAATAGGGATCATAAACTGAGTACACCTCTTTAATCACCTCTTAAAGGCCCCCACCTCTTAATAGTCTCACACTGGCAACACCTGGATTTGGGAGAGGCCACATTCAAACAGCAGCAGCAGCAGCAGCAGTAGTAGTATTCTCCCTGCTTAACTTCTTGCAACATCATTTAGGAATACCTGCCACAAGTAGAGTATTATTTCCAAATATATTCAAATTTAAAATGGCACGTATACACCTACTATGTACACATAAAAATGAAAAAAATTTTAAATGTTTTTAAAGATAGCAGAGTAAGCTGGGCGCGGTGGCTCACGCCTGTAATCCCAGCACTTTGGGAGGCTGAGGCAGGCAGATCACGAGGTCAGGAGATTAGAGACCATCCTGGCTAACAAGGTGAAACCCTGTCTCTACTAAAAAAAAACAAAAAATTAGCCGGGCATGGTGGCAGGTGCCTGTAGTCTCAGCTACTCAGAGGCTGAGGCAGGAGAATGGCATGAACCCCGGGAGGCGGAGCTTGCAGTGAGCCAAGATGGCGCCACTGCACTCCAGCCTGGGTGACAGAGCGAGACTCCGACTCAAAAAAAAAAAAAAAAAGATAGCAGAATTGCAGAAAAAGTAGATAGCAAACACAGACATTTTTCAAATGGACAAACTGATGCTTTGGAAGATTAGTCTATACTTAATCATGCTTCCTTTCCTTAAAAAATGGATGCATAATATCTACAAATTCCTCAAGCATGTGAAATCTAAACAAAATGAAGTTTAATGAGTAATTTGCACAAGAAAAGATGTAATGAAAAACACTATCATCCTAATTTCAAAACTTTTCTAAGTCGAAATGTGATTTTAAATATTCACAGAGAAAAAAAAAAACAGTAGAGCCCCACTGAAAAGCAGGTCTCTGGCAAAGTTATTCAAGTTTAGCAAAGAGACCTTAGACTTAGACTAGATATTCTTCAGATAGGGCGCAGGGGTGGTGGAAGGTAAAGTTACAAAACTTAAGAGGGTTGCCAGGGAAATATTTGTCCCCCAAATATAGAATGAAACTATCACAGAAGCTCAGGAAAAAATAATGCAACCCGGTTTTGTTCGTTTGTTTTGCTTGGTCACATTATTTACTTCTGGAAGGAATAAGAAGCTGAAAACAAAGGGAAGGGGAAATCTAACTTTTCAAGTAAAAAGCCACGATGAAGGACTGAATAGACTTGTGTTTTCAGTCTTGACTGCATATTAGATTCAACAAGGGGCCCTTTACAAACATCCATGCCTAGTATTTAATTCTTCTGGGGTGAAAACAGAGCACTTTTTAAAAAAAGTTTTCCAGGTGAATCTAAAGAACAGCTGGGGTTAAGAACCACTGAGCTAGCTGGAAAGTGTGTACATCAGATACAGTACAAAGTCTGGCATGGAGCTATAAGGATGATAAACATCTGGTGCATAAATCCTTTTTGATTAATGCTTTGAATCATGTTGTGTGCCACCTCCCCATCACAAGACCAGAATCTCTTCCAGTTATCTCATCACCCTACAATCTTAAACAGCTTCAGCAAAGCCCATTTAAAGCCAACTGAGAAGTTCTTGCTGCATCAAGTACCCTTGATGAGACTCTAAAAGACAGGATTCACTAGTTAGCATAAGACCTAATGTAAGCAATTCTTCTTCAAAGGGAGAATTTAGGTTTACTGAAGCAGAAAACTAAAAGCCTTTAATACAAAGCTGTAATTAATGGGTATTATAAATCATAGCAGTGCATCTCTGATTTCAGGTTTGTGGGATGCACCACATGCAACACACACTAATTCAACAAAAAGTGGCCTCCTGCATATAATTGCCTTTCCTGGAGAAAACCAATTTGATCCCAAAGAGGTTGGAAAGGAATGCAGATAATTATACATACTTACAATACAATTGCTTCCTGCTCTCCAAAGCAAACTTTTAAAAGAATGTTTTTATTTTAAGCAAAATAATTTTTCTTTAGCTGTCCCTTTTTATATTCAATCTAATAGACCAGTAAGGCCAACTTTCACAATGGTCTATTATATATTTAATTAGTTATTCTGAGATATGAACATTCCAAGATTTCATGCTGATTAAATTCCTCTATTCTGTGAATGGAATAATATATTAGGTAAAATTGCCCCACACAAAAATACAAATCAAGAAAAATTTAAAGATACAAGTATCAAGTGTAGCCAGCTAGGAATCCGTCAAGTGATAACTGAAGTGCTCCACACCAGACCTTCACTTACACAGGAAGGACCAATCCTAGGCAGAACTTCACTTTACACAGAAAGGCCCTCTTTAGGAGACTCAGTTTGCCCGTTTTGACAAACTGCATAGTTTCTTTTTTCTTTTTCTTTCTTTTTTTTTTTTTTGACACATGCAATCTCAGTTCACTGCAACTTCCGCCTACCGGGTTCAAGCGATTCTCCTGCCTCAGCCTCCCGAGTAGCTGGGATTACAGGAGCCCACCACCACGCCCAGCTAATTTTTGTATTTTTAGTAGAGATGGGGTTTCACTGTGTTGGCCAGGCTGATCTTGAACTTCAGACCTCAGGTGATCCGCCCACCTTGGCCTCCCAAAGTGCTGGGATTACAAACGTGAGCCACCGCGCCCAGCCAAAGTGCATAGTTTCAGGTATATCCTTGAGGTCTCTCCCTCTACCCTACATCAAAAATCATCTAAATAGCAGCTGACTTCTGAATAACTCCAAGCTAATGAAGGCCCTATTTCTAGTTTTAAAATATTCCCTGGTCAGCAACAACAGTTCTCCAAAAAAAAAAAAAAAAAAAACGCATATCTCAAAACAAGGGCTCCACAATAAATGTCACCAAAAGCTGCTTTATAACACCTTGTGTCTTTTAAAAGTTTAGCTTAAGTTTTCTTTTTTCTCCTATCTTGAATGAAATATGTAAAATTCAACTTTTCATGTATTTAATAAACTGTTATTGCTACACAAATAAATTCTCTTTCCAAAGCATATACTTAATTTTTTTCAGAGGAAAACAAGGTGATTTGATGATTCACTTAATTCCGTTTAACTTCATGACTCTTTACAAAAGTAAAAAGATGCAAATCATTCATTGTTCATCCATTCCCCTCCAGGAACTGTGAAGCATTAAATGCCACTTGATCTGCCCTATACTGCTGTGATTTCACCTTCAATATAAACAGACCATGTAGCTAACAGCAGTGACTACCACCAATGTTAGCAGAACACTGGATATGGAGTCAATCCATTTCTTTCTTCCTTCCTCACCATCTTTGTAACCTTCCTTTCCTCACCCTCCTCTACTCTCTACCTCCTACTCTCCTTTAACTGCTCTTTTATTACTAATTTTTCTGCCTTTGAATCCATTCTCCCTCCATCCTTTTATCACCATTTATTCTTCTCTACATTCTCTCTCCTCAATCTCCTCTTCCTTTTCACCACAACACCTTCTTCACCAACCACCCTTTTTTATTGTTCTTGCCTTATTAACTCCCTCCCCTTGGCTCTCCTGCTCTTTCTGCCTTAGCCATCTCTCTCCTCTATTTGTTTAGTGCCTTGTGCTAGTATCTCTTCCACATGCCCATACCACAGCTCACAATCTTTGTACCTTTTCCAAACCAGATGGTCCCTGGAGAAAGGCAAGATCTAAAATTCCAAGTGACTCAGAAAATTAGACTTTGGATGGAAAAAAAAAATAAGTATCCCTAATATCTAACATTATAAATCTGTGTCACAAGGAGCCAACTCAGCTATTGCTATAATTATAATTTCCCACCAATGCTCTTTCAAAACTGGAGCAGAGATGAATGAGATTTTAATACTGTAATTGTGCCTTAGAATCTACTATTCAGACTCATTCTAGCTTCCTCTTATTTAACCTCTGAAGTGTATATGTAAAGAAGGTAGTTGGCAGGGAGGGACAACTAAAGTGCCAAACGCTGAGAAGAAAGCATGGTTTTCATGCAGATCTAGAATTCAGGCACTATTTGAACCATAAAAATAAAAACACAAGATGTAGGCTGTAACTAAAACTAGCTATAACTAGTAAGCTTTTAAAGGACAATGTGTTTTAATCCTACCAAATTAGAATATCTACCAACAAGAGGCTACATACAATTATTTAATACTTTCGATATAAAAATCTCAACGTCATTTAAAGATTAAAACAATTTTGGGATTTGGGGTTTCTCAAAGTCATTCTGAAACATGAGAGTTCTCTCTACACATTATTCTACCTAAGCAGCAATGCTCTAGTCTTAAGCTTTGGGAGAAGCTAAGACTGCCTAAAGATTACTCTTTGCCAAAAAAAGAGAGGAAGAAGGAGAGAGGGTGAGAGGGGGAGAGACTGAGAAGGAGAGAGGGAGAGGGTGAGAAGGAGAGGGGGAGAGGCCCCTCTTACTTAAAGCAGAACACTGAAAACCCAAGCCAACTAATTTGTGGTGGAATTTAAATGAAGAGCCAGCTGCAGAACACAGCACCAAGGAGAAAAGAAGGTCGCAAGGAGGAGAGGCTGCAAGTACAACAGGGTTATCCAGAGTGAGGAAATAATTGTTTTCAAATATTTGTAAGATGTGATTGAAGAGATTAGGGGAAAATTTAAATTGTTCTGATAAAATGCCACAATGCTCAAATACTTACTTACTCAAATACTACTTACATTATTGTTTTAGGAAGCAGAATTCATCCAACACCATTTGTCCAAAGATAATCTATGTTTCTTAAGGTGAACTTAAGTTAAAATGGAAAGACTGCTTTAACAGGTCAGGGTAACTCAGCCAACTGCATTTTTAGCCTCCAAAGTACTAGAAATTGGAGATAAAGCTCTAAATGAGTAGTTTTTTAAGTGAGCAAAGTTTACAGAGATGAGACTGCAGAAAAGAAGTATGTTCAAATGTGGGCCGCAGAAGTTTATAATTCTGTGTGGTGGAGATCTTTTAAATATTTAGAATAGTATGTTTGGTTCTTAATAACATTACATCTGTATTAATAAATTAATATGAGATAAAACAGAAATTAAAATATAAATGCAAATAATACTGTTTTAAATATGTAGCTACATGTATGAGAAAACTGATGATCCCTTCTGTTAAAATATTGAAAGTATATACTACTTAACATAACTTCAAATTTACTGCATAAGACCTTGACTCTCATTGCTTATTCTGAATCAAGGGCGAAAACTTCTAGTATTTTCATATCTTGCATACAAAATAGCTTGTTTCTCCAAAAATCAATAAGTCAAATACTTGACTGATCTGTATGGTCTGATTAGAGAATTCACATCGTAAGGTCACAGTGTTCTACCTGCTTCTTCAAGTTTTCCACATTAACAATCAATATCAAGGGTTCAATTTTCTGAGATTTGAATGTCACTGTCTGTTCTCATTGTAATGGTTACAAAACCATAAATGTGATTCACTAGTGTTTTTATACTGAGGGTGCTAAGAATTTGCCTGCTGTGAAAATACCAACAGTTCACCTTGCATGGCATTTTCCCATTTGAAAGTATCTGCTTTCACAGACTGAAAGCTAATGTGCCAGGAGGCACTGTGCTTCTCAGCAACATAAAGAGAGTTCCAGAGGGAAACTCAGGCTCAAGATGGCCCTTCACTTGGGATGAGACGTGAGTTAAACAGGCTCTTCATAGAGAATATCAATTATCAGCAATATATGTATGCCAAGATAATCACAACGGTGATGATAAGGAAATCACTGCCTGACACCAGCCACTACATCCTAACATGAGAAGCTCTCTTCATAACCATTTCTCCCTCAGGGAGAATAGAATCTCTGTTTCAGGGCTTACAAACAAAAATTGCAACAAGCCTGGAGTCAAGGCCTAAGGTCTTCAATGAAATAAATCAACCCGAAATAAACTAGAGAGCAAATGACTTGGGCATTTAATAAAAATAACATTAGCCTTGGCCCTGAACATACATGAAGAAATGGTTCTATAAATCCCCTCCTAAAAGGAAACCCATGATTATACTATATCCCACACATAGTTATTCACTAAGTATGAGCTGTATATATTAGTCAGGGTTCTAAGTTGTCAGTGACATACACCAACTAATAAATTTAATTAGACAAAATATTTGCTAAAAATAGTAAGTACTTAGAACAGGGGCCCCAAACCCCTGGGCCATATTATGAGGCCAACATCATCCTGATACCAAAACCTGGCAGAGACACAACGAAAAAAGAAAATTTCAGGCTAATATCCCTGATGAACATCGATGCAAAAATTTTCAATAAAATACTGGCAAACTGAATACAGCAGCACATCAAAAACCTTATACAGCACAATAAACTTGGCTTCATCCCTGGGATGCAAGGCTGGTTCAACACACGAAAATCAATAAACGTAATCCATCACATAAACAGAACCAAAGGCAAAAACCACACAGTTATCTCAATAGATGCAGAAAAGGCTTTTGATAACATTCAACACTTCTTCATACTAAAAACTCTCAATAAACTAGGTATTGATGGAACGTATCACAAAATAATAAGAGCTATTTTGACAAACCCACAGCCAATATCATACGGAATGGGCAAAAACTGTAAGCATTCCTTTTGAAAATCGGCACAAGACAAGGATGCCTTCTCTCACCATTCCTATTCAACATAGTATTGGAAGTTTTGGCTAGGGAAATCAGGCAAGAGAAAGAAATAAAGGGTATTCAAATAGGAAGAGAGGTAGTCAAATTGTCTCTGTTTGCAGATGACATAATTGTATATTTAGAAAACCCCATCATCATCTCAGCCCAAAATCTCCTTAAGCTGATGAGCAACTTCAGCAAAGTCTCAGGATACAAAATCAATGTGCAAAAATCACAAACATTCCTATATACCAATAATAGACAAACAGCCAAATCATGAGTGAACTTCCATTCACAACTGCTACAAAGAGAAATAAATACCTAGGAATACAACTTCCAAGGGAATGTGAAGGACCTCTTGAAGGAGAACTACAAACCACTGCCCAAGGAACTCAAGGAGGACACAAACAAATGGAAAAACATTCCATGCTCATGAATACGAAGAATCAATATCATGAAAATGGCCATGCTGCCCAAAGTAATTTATATATTCAATGCTATCTTCATCAAGCTACTGTTTACGTTCTTCACAGAATTAGAAAAAAACTACTTTAAATTTCACATGGAACCAAAAAAGAGCCTGTACAGCCAAGACAATTCTAAGCAAAAGGAACAAAGCTGGAGGCATCATGCTACCTGATTTCAAACTATACTATAAGGCTACAGTAACCAAAACAGCATGGTATTGGTACCAAAACAGATATATAGACCAATGGAACAAAACAGAGGCCTCACAAATAATACCACACATCTATAAACACCGTGGCTTTGACAAACCTGACAAAAACAAGCAATGGGGAAAGGATTCCCTATTTAAAAAATAGTGTTGAAAAAACTAGCCAGCCATATGCAGAAAACTGAAACTGGACCCCTTCCTTACACCTTTCACAAAAATTAACTCAAGATGGATTAAAGACTTAAACATAAGACCTAAAACCATAAAACCCTAGAAGAAAACCTAGGCAATACCATTCAGGACATAGGCATGATGGGCAAAGACTTCATGACTGAAACAAAAGCAATGGCAACAAAAGCCAAAACTAACAAATGGGATCTTTTCTTCTTTTTTTTTTTTTTTTTGAGATGGAGTTTCACTCTTGTTGCCCAGGCTAGAGTGCAATGGCACAATCTTGGCTCACTGCAACCTCCACTTCCCAGGTTCAAGCGATTCTCCTAGTAGCTGGGATTATACGCATGTGCCACCATGCCTGGCTAATTTTGTATTTTAGGTAGAGACAGCGTTTCTCCATTTGGTCAGGCTGGTCAGCCACCGTGCCCAGCCAACAAATGGGATCTAATTAAACTAAAGAGCTTCTGCACAGCAAAAGAAACTATCATCAGAGTGAAGAGGCAACCTACAGAATGGGAGAAAATGTTTGCAATCTATCCCTCTGACAAACAGCTAATATCCAGAATCTACAAAGAACTTAAACAAATTTAGAAGAAAAAAACAATCCCATCAAAAAGTGGGCAAAGGATATGAACAGACACTTCTCAAAGGCATTTATGCAGCCAACATACATATGAAAAAAGCTCATCAGCACTGGTCATTAGAGAAATGCAAATCAAAACCACAATGGGATACCATCTCACACCAGTTAGAATGACAATCCTTAAAAAGTCAGGAAACAACAGATGCTGGAGAGGATGTGGAGAAATAGGAATGCTTTTACACTGTTTGTGGGAGTGTAAAGTAGTTCAACCATTGTCGAAGACAGTGTGGCAATTCCTTATGGATCTAGAACCAGAAATACCATTTGACCCAGCAATCCCATTACTGGGTATATACCCAAAGGATTATAAATAATTCTACTATAAAGACACATGCACATGTATGTTTATTGCAGCACTGTTCACAATAGCAAAGACTTGGAACCAACCCAAATGTCCATCAATGATAGACTTGATAAAGAAAATGTGGCACATATACACCATGGAATACTATGCAGCCATAGAAAAGGATGAGTTCATGTGCTTTGCAGGGAGATGGATGAAGCTGGAAACCATCATCCTCAACAAACTAACACAGGAACAGAAAACCAAACACCTCATGTTCTCACTCATAAGTGGTAACTGAACAATGAGAACACATGGACACAGGGAGGGGAACATCACACACCGGGGCCTGTCAGGGGGTGGGGAGCCGGGGGAGGGATAGCATTAGAAGAAATACCTAATGTAGATGACAGGTTGATGGGTGCAGCAAACCACCATGACATGTGTATACCTATGTAACAAACCTTCACGTTCTGCACATGTATCCCGGAACTTAAAGTATAATAATAAAAAAAAGAATCATTATCAAGAAAAAAAAATGATAGAAAGCACTAATGTACATTACAATAAATATGCCAGACTCTGTCCTAAGAGTTTTACTTTAAATAAGTCACCTAATCCTCAAAAGAAGCCTATGAGGTACATGCTATTATTTCCCCTTCTTACATTTGAGGGACCTGAGGCACACAGAGGTTAACTAACCACCTCAAGCAAGGTTACAAGACTGGTAAGTGGCAGAGCCAAGATAAAAGCTGGGATATGAACCCAGTCAGTCTAGCATGAGAGTCCATGCTTTATACTGCCTTTTGGAAATCCAGATCTGGGACAAAGTCCAAAATCATACCTTAAAACAGGTTCCGTGAAGAAACCACAACCCTAGAGTCTGTACCACTAACTCTGGGCCCTGGATGCTACCTCTAGATTGGCTGACAGTCCTGTCTGGAAACCCAGTATAGCTGCTGCTCCCGCCTAACTTCAGCAGAATGGATTCTCTCCCTGGTAACTTCTTTGTGTCACTAGCTTCTGATTCAGAAACTGGGGCAAATGCATCATACGCCCATACCCTAGCTACAAGAAAAGCTGAGAAAGCAAGTGTCTGACATTTTCAGCTTAATAGAAGGGAGGCTCTGTCTTCATGGAAGGGAGAAGGGATTTCCACACATAGGAATTTCCCAGGAAAATAGATGCTGGGTAGCATCTAATAAGTGACAAGATATCCACTACACTCTTACTGTAGTGGTAGACCTACATGAAGTTACACTGTGTTACAATGATCAGAGTAGCAAACATTACAGCAAGCTCCTGACTTTTTCCTACAATAATCCCAACTATAAAGACATAGTTGCCAAGGATGTGAATACTAGGGACCTAGAATTCCTGAGTTAATAAGCCGTTTATTAAATTTCTGAGTCTCAACTTCCTTATCTGAAAAAGAGGGATAGTAATAGTACCTACCTTAAAGTATACTGTTAAGATTAAATGTAATAACACATGAAGTACTCTGCACAGTAACTACGCAAAAAGTGGTGGTAATGGTGATTTTGGAAACAATGATGATGATGGAGAGGAGGAGAATAGTGCCTGGCACACAGGAAGTACATAATAAATATCTGCTGTTATTGTGGTGGTTGTTATCATTATTATCATAACCTATTCCAAGTCAAGAGGCTTTGGTAGCTGGCTTATTTATTCATTCAACCCATCTACACTGAGTACCTATTAGGTTCCAGTCACTGAGTTAGGCACCAGAAATACAAAAGGCAGGCCGGGCGTGGTGGCTCATGCCTGTAATCTCAACACAATTGGGGGTCGAGGTGGGCAGATCATGAGATCAGGAGTTCAAGACAGCCTAGCCAACATGGTGAAACCCTATCTCTACTGAAAACACAAAAATTAGCCACGTGTGGTGGCACGTGCCTGTAATTCCAGCTACTTGGGAGGCTGAGGAAGGAGAATCACTTGAACCTGGGAGACGGAGGTTGGAGTGACCTGAGATCACGCCATTGCCCTCCAGCCCGGGCGACAGAGCAAGACTCCATCTCGGGAGGAAAAGAAAAGGAAAAAAAGAAATACAAAAGACAGCAAAGCATGTGATCTGCATTCTCGGAGCTTACAGAATATCGGGGAAGGAACAGGCTAATCAAGTAACCACACAAACAAACGTGACATTATTACATGGCACTGAAAGTGTGCATAATAAGGACAAGTGACCAAGTCAGGCAGATCAGGGGAATGGCCCTTTTGAGGGAAGACCTGGAGAGTGAGTAGGAGTTAGCTAACTGAGAGAGGTGCCACAACAAACAGCATTAGACTGAGGGAGGTGCAAAGAGCATTCCTGGCAAAGAGAGTGGCAAGGATAAAGAAGATCTTATGTCAGGAGGAAGCACTCAGCATTCCAGGAACTAAAAGAAGGCCAGCACAACTGGAGAGGAAGAGGCAGGGACTCGATCATAAAAAGACTTCCAAACCACACAAGGAATGCTGATTCAAGACCAGTGAGTAGGCCACATTTCTTTAACCAGCCAGCTAACCCACTCTGGGATGGTACCACCACCATCTGAAGAAGGGAACCTCTGTGTGAGGAATATAGCTTGCGTGGGTTTGAGATACTGTTAATGCCTGGTACTCCCATGTGTTTCAGTGCCCTGATGTAAAGAAGGTCAGACAGGTTTGAAATCTCTGAAGATGCTTTAAAAGGCATTTGGTGGCATTTCTCCTTCCCTCCATCTCCTAAAAAAAGGTTTTTTGAATCGTAGAACCAAATCAGGATAAATAATTAAAGACAGAAACAATCAGAGATATTATCTAGCCAATCTCCTTTATTTTCTTGGTTTTGTTTTGTTTTAGAGATGAGGGCTCGCTCTGTCACCCAGGCTGGGCTGCAGTAGTATAATCCCAGCTCACTGCAGCCTTGATCTCCGAAGCTCAAGTGATCCTCCCAGCTCAGCCGCCTCAGTAGCTAGGACAACAGCTGCATGCCACCACACCTGGCTAATTTTTTATTTTTTGTAGAGACGGGGGTCTCACCATGTTGCCCAAACTGGTATCAAACTCCTCGCCTCAGGCGATCCTCCTGCCTTGGCCTCCCAAAGCACTAGGATTATAGGCATGAGCCACCATGCCCAGCCTCTCCTCATTTTCTAGTTGTGGATATCACATGCTGGTAGTCACCAACAAAACCAGAACTAGAACTCAGTTCTAGATTTCCGAGCCAGTGCTTTTCCCACCACCCCTCTGCCACTTAGAAGATCCCATTTATTTAATCTGCCCAAAAGCCAAAACTGTCTTAACACCCTGAAACAGCTAGCTCACTTCTCACTGTTGAACACAAGCCTGCTCTGATATAAACAATACTAATATGTGACATAATGAACCAGAAACTAAAGAGTAGCACATAGCAGGGGATGTCTGACTACATTTGTTTAACAGCTCTCAGCTTCTCTATGAAGCAGTTAAATCTTGATTAACTGGAAGCTTCCTTTTTTGTATTTGTTAAAGACTCTACTTTCAAGAGGAATCAGATAATAACTGAATAACTAACATCAGAGTTTTGTTAAAAATAATAGAAGGAATAAAAACTTCTATAGCAACCGGGTGACTCTCGCACATTAGCCATATCATAAAAAGAAGACACGGTCAAGACAGCAGCTCCAGGTAAGTGGGGTTCTCTTAAGCAACAAAGGAAATACTCCCTGCAACAGAGCTCTTCTACTATGGCAGCCTAAGACTAAGGTTACAGCCAGATCACAAAGAACCAAACTAAGAAAACAAACACCTACATAACCCCTGACCAAATCCAATATCACGGTTAGGCCAGACAAGTGAAAGGATTCTTTATAGTTCTGACAACTGGTAACAAAGAGGCTAATTAATCTTATTTATCTAATGTCCATGGGACTTCTGTGAAATAGGATAAAACACTAGTACACAATTACAACATTAATTCAAAAGTTTCAGGACAATAGTTTGGCAAATCCAAAACCATATTCAAATGCATAAAACTGAAAATGCTAACAAATTATTCTGAAAGCCCACAAATTATCTTTTCTCCATTTCCTCGATTTTTGTAGAGATAGGATTTCTAATACCTTCATCTTTTTATACCTCCTTAGGTTTTATTTTAATCTTTTACCACACTCTCCTGTGATTTTTTTGCCAAAATGGTTACAAACAATCTATGTTTATCCAGCTTTCTGCGCTCATTTTGACTTACTTGAGCATGGAAAATGGAAGTCTCATCTTCATCACCATCATAAAGACAACCAACATGCATTGGACAGATAACTGTGTCAGTCATCTTTTAACCTAATATCTCATTTAATCCTTTTGCCTGTATGTTACTACCCTTGGGTTGCAGAAAAAGAAATGTTTGGAATGCTTAAATAATAAAGGCAAAGGTATCTAACTCCACATAGTCTGGTCCCAGAGCCAGGGCTTTTAACCACTGCTCTAGAGCTGTCTTTCAAGTTAAACCAACATTTTAAATCCATAATGTTTTAATTTCTCAGTGATCATTTCTTATTTTCTAGCTACTAGGTATATTCTTTGATCACTATTATTTATATGCTCTTCCAGAACTAGCTAATTCGATTCTGGGAAGAAGTATCTGAAGTACACCAGCATCTGAGGTACAGCAACATTTATATATAAAAACCCTTTCTGGAGTTTCAAGATGAAACATGGATTTCCTATTACCTTATTAAAGATACATACATTGAAAATTAAACAAAGTTGATCATGACTTGCAAAAAACAACAGCCCATCTTTATTTCTAATATTTCTCCTGTTCTAAACTTGCATTGAATTCACTATCGAATTAAGTTGCACAGTGTATGGAGGGCTCTGCTATGCCTTCAGACACTCAGGAAACACTGAAAATGCACTTACACATCTGCCAGAAACTTCTGTTGCCAGAACTTGTCAGAGTGAGGATGATTTAGTACTAATTGCAGTGCCCTTGACAGTCCTGAACTACAAGGTTTATCCATCTCAGTAAGACAGAGCAGGTGAAGGAGCATGTGAGAGCAGATGTAGGAAGCAGCACAATCTTTTCTGACAGCTAAACAACAAGACAGCCAGTAACAGTGCTCATTTTTCCACTATGTCATCAAAGCCACTTACTTACCAAGGGTTCATGGAATAGGTTTTGCTGGCTGCCCAGATGACTGCCCATTTCTTCCCCACGAGTTATCTTCAAAACAGTATCTCTGCATGAGCTTTCTCTTTCCTTATCCCTCCTCTCATCTCCACATTGCTTAACTAAGCCCTGACTTTTCCTTCTCTTTCATGGATCGTATCATCCTTAAATATAGACTTTATCTGTCTTGAGATGAGATGAGAGACTTCTAGTTTCCTTGATTCTAATCCTCCTGTGACAAGGTACATCTTTTTTATCTGTGTCATTAATCAATAAAGAGCTGACAAGAGAGTCACTCAATATTATGAGCCATTCAGTTAAGCTGGAACATTGCTCAGGTAAAATTTAGAATAAGAAGTCATTAGGCTTCATAAAATTGATCTTACCCCAATAAAACTTGGTTAACAGTCCTTCTCCATTTGTCATAGGGAAAATCCAAAAGCAAGGAAAACACAGCTTAGAAGTAGTCTTATAAAATTAATGATATTACTTTTGCAGTAAATCAAATCCATAGAGATTTTAGAAGTTATAACTAGTGGTCAACCTGAAAGTTCAATTGAAAAGCTTTTTTTTTTTTTTAAATCAGGATGACAGCCATAAGACAGGCCTATCAAAAGATTTAAATCAGTAAACTCTTAAAAGACATTCTTTAAAATGATAGTCATTTAAAATCCAGTAGATATCATATTTAACTGGCTAAAGACAGAACTTACGAGCATTACAGAATAATATCCTTTTGATGGTTTTCGAGTGTACTGCCTTCTGTGGAATTGCAGAGACTCTTCAATTCTCTAAGGAGAAGCTTACTGAGACTCAGGCATATTCCTAAATCCTAGTAAAGCTTTCCAAAAGCTCACCAAAAACTATCACTAAATTAAGCACTCCATCAAGTTAAACATCTTCCTAACTTTTCTGTTGGTGGCAACTGGCCAACAGTAGAACATTTTTTCTAATTCAGTACACTCTCTGATATCTAACAAGCCACTTGTAGCTCTAAGTATAAGTAAAATGTTCTACTTTTCTTTCAAGTTTGAAAAAAAAAAAAAATAGACCCCTGGTCTGTATGGAGACTGCAACAAAAACCATTCACACTGGCTTATATGCTCCTGCCCCCACCATACAACATCACATGTACTGAAAAAGCATGGAGAACAAGGCTGCCACAACCTTTAATGCTTCATGACTAGGTGAAGCATGACCTCAATGTTTCATGACCAGGAGGGGGCTCTGTGCCCCTCATACCCTCTTCTGCTGCAGGCAGTACCTTTTCACCTAGGGGTGCTTAATTTTTATGTGTCAGCTTGGCTACATGATGGTGCTTAGTTAGTTGGTCAAATACTAATCGAGGTGGCACTGTGAAGGTTTTGTAGAGATGATTAACAATTTACAATCAGCTGACTTTAAGTAAAGGGAAAGTACCCTGGATAACATGGCTGGCTCTCATCCCATCAGCTGAAGGCCTTAAAAGCAAAAACATGTTTTTGAAGAAGAAGGAATTCTGCCTCAATATTGTAATATAGAAATCCTGCCCAAGTTTCCTGCATGGAGGCCTTCCCTATGAATTTCAGACTCAAGATTACAATTTCAACTCTTACCTGAGTTTCCGGGCAGCCCTACAGACTTCAGCCCTCCCATTTCATAAGCCAGGTATGTTGTAGTGTGGTCTAGTTAGCTCAGTTTAAAAATCTAGTTTATCACTGTACAGGAACCTACCATTTGTGAAAAAGATCAGTTATAAGAGCATCTTAGATTCTCTTCAAAAAGAAATTATTAAATTTGGGCTAAAAATGTCCACCTAAGAAGATCGTTTTATTCAATTCCTAATCTCACAGCTGATTCCTTTCTATGAGATTTTTAACAAGTAATCATGCACTTGAATAACTCTACCAACAGGGACAGCAAGGTGGAAAGTAAAGGAAAGGGAAATGACATTTATTGAATTCTTCTCATGTGTTGAGTGCTACCCTAAGCATTTTACAATAGTCATCCACTTTAATCCTCACATCATAACTGTGAGATAGGCATTATTAACATCATTTTACAGATAAAGAAACCCAGCCTCAGAGAACTTAAACTGATGCAAAATCACAAAACAAGCAGACTTAACACTCAGCCCAGGTGGTCTTACTCCAAAACTCATTGTGTTAAGTCAGCTCTTGCTGATAATAACAATCCCAAAATCTCAGTGACTTACCACACCAAATAGTTATTTTTTTGTTCATGCTAAACAAAAGTTAAGGGCTGAGTAAAGCTCTGCTCAACGCTGCAGGTCTTCTTCACAGGTCTTCTCATTCTGGGATGCAAGCTAAAGGAGGAAGTTACCAGACGTCACCTGGCTAAGAGTATAAATACATAATTTCTCCCATACAATTTTTTTATGAAGACAAAGTGTGTATTCTGGGTAGGAAACAAAAATGAAGTGAATGCCTAGTAGCTAGGGGGGCTAACTGTAAGAGTCACTAGTGTTTTCATCAAATAATCGCAGTTTTGTTTCTGTTTGTTTGTTTGTTTGTCTTTTTTGAGACAGAGTTTCACTCTTGTTGCCCAGGCTGGAGTGCAATGGCGCAACCTTGGCTCACTGCAACTTCCGCCTCCCGGGTTCAAGGAATTCGCCTTCCTCAGCCTCCAGAGTAGCTGGGATTACAGGTGCCCACCACCATGGCTGACTAATTTTTTGTATTTTTAGTAGAGACAGGGTTTCACCACATTGGCCAGGCTGGTCTCGAACTCCTGACCTCAGGTGATCTGCCCACCTTGACCTCCCAAAGTGCTGGGATTACAGGCGTGAGTCACCACACCCACTCTATAATCACAGTTCTTTTCCAGGGCATATGGAAGAATTATACTTCCTTATCTCATTAATGTCCTCTGTAGCCAGATAACTTGCTTTGATCAATGAAATATAAGCCAAGGTGATATGTAACTTTTGATTGAAAGCTGTACACATGCATGATGTTTTTTTCCTGCAATGCTTCAAATTATGACTGCAATCTAAATCCTGAATGAAGACAATATGGAACAGAGCCCCCAATCAACCCACGATGCACGTGTAGCATGAATAAGAAATAATAATGTGGGACATTTCTATTATTTCAACATAAGTTAGCTTATTTTGACTGATACACAAGTCAAACAGATTCTCTCAGGAATGTGAACTAAGAAAACGAAAGAACTGTGTAACGAGCAAAGGAAGATAAATGCCAAGGCTGAATGAATCTAAGACACTTTGTGATATGCCACAACCTAAATATGAGTAAGCAGAAGCTACGAGACAGAAAAAGACAGAGGCAAAGTAAGAAAATGAACAAGGAAGATGGCCAAATAGGAACAGCTCCAGTCTATAGCTCCCAGCGTGAGCAAAGCAGAAGACGGGTGATTTCTGCATTTCCAACTGAGGTACCGGGTTCATCTCACTGGTGAGTGTCGGAAAGTGGGTGCAGGACAGTGGGTGCAGCACACCGTGCGTGAGCCGAGGCAGGGCCAGGCATTGCCTCACCCGGGAAGTGCAAGGGGTCAGGGAATTCCCTTTCGTAGTCAAAGAAAGGGGTGACAGACAGCACCTGGAAAATTGGTTCACTCCCACCCCAATACTGCACTTTTACAATGGTCATAGCAAACGGCACACCAGGAGACTATATGCTGCGCATGGCTCGGGGGTCCTACACCCACAGAGCCTCACTCATTGTTAGCACAGCAGTCTGAGATCAAACAGCAAAGGAGCAGCGAGCCTGGGGAAGGGGTGACCGCCATTGCCAAGGCTTGAGTAGGTAAACAAAGGGGCCAGGAAGCTCCAACTGGGTGGAGCCCACCACAGCTCAAGGAGGCCTGCCTGCCTCTGCAGACTCCACCTCTGGAGGCAGCGCATTGCCAAACAGAAGGCAGCAGAATCCTCTGCAGACTTAAATGTCCCTGTCTGACAGCTTTGAAGAGAGTAGTGGTTCTCCCAGCACGCAGCTGGAGATCTGAGAACAGACAGACTGCCTCCTCAAGTGGGTCCCTGACCCCCAAGTAGCCTAACTGGGAGGCACCTCCCAGTAGGGGCAGACTGACACCTCACACAGCCGACTACTCCTCTGAGACAAAACTTCCAGAGGAACAATCAGGCAGGAACATTTGCTGCTCACCAATATCTGCTGTTCTGCAGCTTCCGCTGCTGATACCCAGGCAAACAGGGTCTGGAGTGGACCTCCAGCAAACTCCAACAGACCTGCAGCTGAGGGTCCTGACCGTTAGAAGGAAAACTAACAAACAGAAAGAATATCCACACCAAAACCCCATCTGTACGTCACCATCATCAAAGGCCAAAGGTAGATAAAACCACAAAGATGGGGAAAAAACAGAGCAGAAAAACTGGAAACTCTAAAAATCAGAGTGCCTCTCCTCCTCCAAAGGAACGCAGCTCCTCACCAGCAACGGAACAAAGCTGGATGGAGAATGACTTTGATGAGTTGAGAGAAGAAGTCTTCAGATGATCAAACTACTCTGAGCTGAAGGAGGAAGTTCTAACCCATGGCAAAGAAGTTAAAAACCTTGAAAAAAAACTAGACGAATGGCTAACTAGAATAACCAATGCAGAGAAGTCCTTAAAGGACCTGATGGTGGTGAAAACCAATGCACGAGAACTACGTGACGAATGCACAAGCCTCAGTAGCCCATTCAATCAACTGGAAGAAAGGGTATCAGTGATGGAAAATCAAATGAATAAAATGAAGCAAGAAGAGAAGTTTAGAGAAAAAAGAATAAAAAGAAACGAACAAAGCCTCCAAGAAATATGGGACTATGTGAAAAGACCAAATCTATGTCTGATTGGTGTAACTGAAAGTGATGGAGAGAATGGAACCAAGCTGGAAAACACTCTGCAGGATATTACCCAGGAGAACTTCCCCAATCTAGCAAGGAAGGCCAACATTCAAATTCAGGAAACACAGAGAATGCCACAAAGATACTCCTCGAGAAGAGCAACTCTAAGACACATAATTGTCAGATTCACCAAAGTTGAAATGAAGGAAAAAATGTTAAGTGCAGCCAGAGAGAAAGGTCGGGTTACCCACAAAGGGAAGCCCATCAGACTTAACAGCAGATCTCTCGGCAGAAACTCTACAAGCCAGAAGAGAGTGGGGGCCGATATTCAACATTCTTAAAGAAAAGAATTTTCAACCCAGAATTTCATATCCAGCCAAACTAAGCTTCATAAGTGAAGGAGAAATAAAATACTTTACAGACAAGCAAATGCTGAGAGATTTTGTCACCACCAGGCCTGCCCTAAAAGAGCTCCTGAAGGAAGTGCTAAACATGGAAAGAAACAACCGGTACCAGCCGCTGCAAAATCATGCCAAAATGTAAAGACCATCGAGACTAGGAAGAAACTGCATCAACTAACGAGCACAATAACCAGCTAACATCATAATGACAGGATCAAATTCACACATAACAATATTAACTTTAAATGTAAATGGACTAAATGCTCCAATTAAAAGACACAGACTGGCAAATTGGATAAAGAGTCAAGACCCATCAGTGTGCTGTATTCAGGAAACCCATCTCACGTGCAGAGACACACATAGGCTCAAAATAAAAGGATGGAGGAAGATCTACCGAGCAAATGGAAAAGAAAAAAAGGCAGGGGTTGCAATCCTAGTCTCTGATAAAACAGACTTTACACCAACAAAGATCAAAAGAGACAAAGAAGGCCATTACATAATGGTAAAGGGATCAATTCAACAAGAAGAGCTAACTATCCTAAATATATATGCACCCAATACAGGAGCACCCAGATTCGTAAAGCAAGTCCTGAGTGACCTACAAAGAGACTTAGACTACCACACAATAATACTGGGAGACTTTAACACCCCACTGTCAACATTAGACAGATCAACGAGACAGAAAGTTAACAAGGATATCCAGGAATTGAACTCAGCTCTGCACCAAGTGGACCTAATAGCCAACTACAGAACTCTCCACCCCACATCAACAGAATATACATTCTTCTCAGCACCACACCTCACTTATTCCAAAATGGACCACATAGTTGGAAGTAAAGCACTCCTCAGCAAATG
This sequence comes from Homo sapiens, assembly GCF_000001405.40. Lineage (NCBI taxonomy): Eukaryota > Metazoa > Chordata > Mammalia > Primates > Hominidae > Homo > Homo sapiens. The sequence continues at coordinate 60,348,136 of NC_000006.12, read as the reverse complement.
TAAAAGAACAGAAATTGTAACAAACTGTCTCTCAGACCACAGTGCAATCAAACTAGAACACAGGATTAAGAAACTCACTCAAAACTGCTCAACTACATGGAAACTGAACAACCTGCTCCTGAATGACTACTGGGTACATAACAAAATGAAGGCAGAAATAAAGATGTTCTTTGAAACCAACGAGAACAAAGACACAACATACCAGAATCTCTGGGACACATTCAAAGCAGTGTGTAGAGGGAAATTTATAGCACTAAATGCCCACAAGAGAAAGCAGGAAAGATCTAAAATGGACACCCTAACATCACAATTAAAAGAACTAGAGAAGCAAGAGCAAACACATTCAAAAGCTAGCAGAAGGCAAGAAATAACTAAGATCAGAGCAGAACTGAAGGAAACAGAGACACAAAAAACCCTTCAAAAAATCAGTGAATCCAGGACCTGGTTTTTTGAAAAGGTCAACAAAATTGATAGACCACTAGCAAGACTAATAAAGAAGAAAAGAGAGAAGAATCAAATCGACGCAATAAAAAATGATAAAGGGGATATCACCGCCAATTCCACAGAAATACAAACTACCATCAGAGAATACTATAAACACCTCTACACAAATAAACTAGAAAATCTAGAAGAAATGGATAAATTCCTGGACACATACACTCTCCCAAGACTAAACAAGGAAGAAGTTGAATCTCTGAATAGACCAATAACAGGCTCTGAAATTGAGGCAATAATTAATAGCTTACCAACCAAAAAAAGTCCAGGACCAGATGGATTCACAGCCGAGTTCTACCAGAGGTAAAAGGAGGAGCTGGTACCATTCCTTCTGAAACTAGTCCAATCAATAGAAAAAGAGGGAATCCTCCCTAACTCATTTTATGAGATCAGCATCATCCTGATACAAAAGCCTAGCAGGGACACAACAAACAAAGAGAATTTTAGACCCATATCCCTGATGAACATCAATGCAAAAATCCTCAATAAAATACTGGCAAACCAAATCCAGCAGTACATCAAAAAGCTTATCCACCATGATCAAGTGGGTTTCATCCCTGGGATGCAAGGCTGGTTCAACACACGAAAATCAATAAACGTAATCCAGCATATAAACAGAACCAACGACAAAAACCACATGATTATTTCAATAAATGCAGAAAAGGCCTTTGACAAAATTCAACAACACTTCATGCTAAAAACTCTCAATAAATTAGGTATTGATGGGACGTATCTCAAAATAAGAGCTATCTATGACAAACCCACAGCCAATATCATACTGAATGGGCAAAAACTGGAAGCATTCCCTTTGAAAACTGGCAGAAGACAGGGATGCCCTCTCTCACCACTCCTATTCAACATAGTGTTGGATGTTCTGGCCAGGGCAATTAGGCAGGAGAAGGAAATAAAGGGTATTCAATTAGGAAAAGAGGAAGTCAAATTGTCCCTGTTTGCAGATAACATGATTATATATCTAGAAAACCCCATTGTCTCAGCCCCAAATCTCCTTAAGCTGATAGGCAACTTCAGCAAAGTCTCAGGGTACAAAATCAATGTGCAAAAATCACAAGCATTCTTATACACCAATAACAGACAAACAGAGAGCGAAATCATGAGTGAACTCCCATTCACAATTGCTTCAAAGAGAATAAAATACCTAGGAATCCAACTTACAAGGGATGTGAAGGACCTCTTCGAGGAGAACTACAAACCACTACTCAATGAAATAAAAGAGGATACAAACAAATGGAAGAACATTCCATGCTCATGGGTAGGAAGAATCAATATTGTGAAAATGGCCTTACTGCGCAAGGTAATTTATAGATTCAATGCCATCCCCATCAAGCTACCAATGACTTTCTTCACAGAATTGGAAAAAACTACCTTAAAGTTCATATGGAACCAAAAGAGAGCCCGCATTGCAAAGTCAATCCTAAGCCAAAAGAACAAAGCTGGAGGCATCACGCTGCCTGACTTCAAACTATACTACAAGGCTACAGTAACCAAAACAGCATGGTATTGGTATCAAAAGAGAGATATAGACCAATGGAACAGAACAGAGCCCTCAGAAATAATGCCGCATATCTACAACCATCTGATCTTTGACAAACCTGATAAAAACAAGAAATGGGGAAAGGATTCCCTATTTAATAAATGGTGCTGGGAAAACTGGCTACCCGTATGTAGAAAGCTGAAACTGGATCCCTTCCTTACACCTTATACTAAAATTAATTCAAGATGGATTAAAGACTTAAATGTTAGATCTAAAACCATACAAACCCTAGAAGAAAACCTAGGCAATACCATTCAGGACATAGGCAAGGGCAAGGACTTCATGTCTAAAACACCAAAAGCAATGGCAACAAAAGCCAAAATTGACAAATGGGATCTAATTAAACTAAAGAGCTTCTGCACAGCAAAAGAAACTACCATCAGAGTGAACAGGCAACCTACAGAATGGGAGAAAATTTTTGCAATCTATTCATCTGACAAAGGACTAATATCCAGAATCTACAATGAACTCAAACAAATTTACAAGAAAAAAACAAACAATCCCATCAAAAAGTGGGCAACGGATATGAACAGACACTTCTCAAAAGAAGACATTTATGCAGCCAAAAAACACATGAAAAAATGCTCATCATCACTGGCCATCAGAGAAATGCAAATCAAAACCACAATGAGATACCATCTCACACCAGTTAGAATGGCGATCATTAAAAAGTCAGGAAACAACAGACGCTGGAGAGGATGTGGAGAAATAGGAACACTTTTACACTGTTGGTGGGAATGTAAACTAGTTCAACCATTGTGGATGTCAGTGTGGTGATTCCTCAGGGATCTAGAACTAGAAATACCATTTGACCCAGTTAGAACTAGAAATACCATTTGACCCAGCCATCCCATTACTGGGTATATACCCAAAGGATTATAAATCATGCTGCTATAAAGACACATGCACACGTATGTTTATTGCAGCACTATTCACAATAGCAAAGACTTGGAACCAACCCAAATGTCCAACAATGATAGACTGGATTAAGAAAATGTGGCACATATATACCAGGGAATACTATGCAGCCATAAAAAATGATGAGTTCATGTCCTTTGTAGGGACATGGATGAAGCTGGAAACCATCATTCTCAGCAAACTATTGCAAGGACAAAAAACCAAACACCACATGTCCTCACTCATAGGTGGGAATTGAACAATGAGAACACATAGACACAGGAATGGGAACATCACACACCAGGGCCTGTTGTGGGGTGAGGGAAGTGGGGAGGGATAGCATTTGGAGATATACCTAATGTTAAATGACGAGTTACTGGGTTCAGCACACCAACATGGCACATGTATACATATGTAATTAACCTGCACGTAGTGCACATGTACCCTAAAACTAAAGTATAATGAAAAAAAAAAGAAAGGAAATGAACAAGCCAGTATGTAGTTAGAAAAAAGCAGACACACACACACACAGAACAGATACATCAAAGGATATCACGTGGCCTATGGATAAATTCATGAGAGTTTTCATACTCTAGCATTGCCTTCACTGCTACAGCTTTCTGGACCTATTAAGAATCTTTACAATTCTTTCCTTTTCTTTAAATGCTGGAATGAGCCTTAAATGAAAAAAGTGGGACAAAATGAGACCTGTGAAATGTTCTAAGTCAATTCTTCAGAAAAATTTTATGGTGAATCAATTATCGAATAAAGATTCACTTCCTAACATAAGTATTACAATGTTACTGTATCAGGCTAGATGCGGTGGCTCACATCTGTAATCCTAGCACTTTGAGAGGCTGAGGTGGTAGATCACTTGAGGTCAGGGTTTCGAGACCAGCCTGGCCGACACAGTGAAATCTCATCTCTACTAAAAGTACAAAAATTAGCCAAGCATGGTGGTGGGCACCTGTAATCCCAGCTACTCAGGAGGCTGAGGCAGAAGAATTGCTTGAACCCAGGAGGAGGAGGCTGCATTGAGCCCAGGTCACACCACTGCATTCTAGCCTGGTCAACAGAGTGAGACTTTGTCTCAAAAAAAAAAAATTAAAAAAAATAAACAAATTTTACTATATCAATCTTAGTTATAAGGTAACATTCATGCATCATCAAAAACATTAAATACACATAAACTCATTAAATAGCTCCTACTAAATATCATCAGGGTAAATTTCAGGAAAATAGAGAAATAAGGCAAGGATAAGAAAACATTTCCCAGAATCAAGAGGCTAAAACAAAAGAGGAAGAGAATCTTACCTTCCTAAAAAGTTTTCTTACTTGTAAAGCTAAGGAAAGAAACAATTCTTTTATAAACATATGCAGATTCTGTAATGAACTGAATGAAGTATAAAGTACAGTATACTATAGTATATGCAAGCCTTAAGTACCTACTACAATACTGGACTCAGAACTAGAATTCAATAAATATTTGACTGATTGATCATATAAATCATTAGGGAAAGCACGTGCTTTATAAATCACTTACTGCATGCATTCATGCTTCATATCGCAAACAAAAAGCTACCAATGATGGCTAGCTTGGCTAACGGGCCAGATGTAGTAATTCTAAATCTAAAACCCAAATAGATACTAACACGTTAAATTAGCCATATGACAGGGGAAACTGAGAATCTCAAGAGCATACTGAACTTAATATTTGTTTAAACACATGCCAAGCCTTTTAGATAGAAATAGGAAGTACTTAACTGGAAAACTATTATGGTTGGCACTATGTTGGCATTATGCTAAGATTCTTCAGAGACAAGAATCAAAGAGCACTCAAAAAGTCCTTTATAAACTATGGCACAGTAGTGAAGCAAGGAATTCTTTAGTAAATTCAAATGGTAATTTGGCCAATGGATATCAAACTACACAAAATTAGTTTCCAACAGGTTTCTGAGTACTAGACACCAAAAAGAACTATTAACTATTAAGCTGCAGTGGTCATTTCAACTGCCTTTTTACAAATCTATAAAGTTGCTAGCTTTATGAGTGTTATGTTATAAAATCTGTATACGTTACTATTAACTTACTGTTACTTAAATCTTGTTTTGGTGTTTGATTCACCTGGGATGACAGATAATAAAGTAACAAAATTTATATTTAGTTGGTTTTCTTAAAGATTGTATAAATTTTCACCTTTAAGGGACAGGCTCTCTAGAATAACAAGTAATGTGACAGGCAAAAGTAAATGAAACAAAACTGAGTTACCTTTGTCATTAATCTTGTTCCTTTGTGTAGTCAGTCTAGGTTGAGAGTGACACAGTCTGAATTTTACTATTCAAGCACTAAATGAATCTGTCTTCTCCACCATGGTAGTTCCACCACAACAGTGACACATATCCTCATTTTAATTAACCTAATGGTCTATTCACTGATCATACTTGGAGGTCTATTTCATTACCCTAAATTAACATTTTCTTTCCATTAAAGTTACAGATAATAAAAAAGACATTGCTTTCATGTGTAGTTTACAACACATTTAATCTATAGTACTCCTTTGCTTAGTAATTACAAGCACTTAAATGCTTGAAAGCACTTAGAGCTACTAGCAGTGAAATGATTTATTTATTCATACACAGGGAAAGCCATTAATAAGAAGAATAAAAATGCAATATTTCAAGAATAAAAATACCTGTTCATTAGCTCAATGAAATCAACTCTAAGAAGGGTGTTGATTGATCTCATTTTAAAAGGTATGATGAGTCTCCTCAAAGTAAATGGGATGTATTTACATAAAATAATTGAATAATCCTGACACATTTTGCCATTTTATTCTCCTTACAAGGAGAAGATTTAGTTTCTCATGTTTAGAGTCGGGCCTAAGAACAATAAAGTAATTTTAATTGTTCAAGAGAACTGTTTAAAGACTTTTCCTAGCAAATGTTTGCCAATTTAATGAGAAATTATTTGATCATAATTCTTTGATTCAAATTCTGCACCTAGGGCTAAATAGTCATCTCTTAGATAGAAATTTACATGTATAGCAACCCTTTATTTTTACTTTCCAAATTAATCCCTGATCAAAATGAAACATAAACCTCAATTTGATTTAAAGATTGTTTTAAAAAAAATTTCATACAATCCCAAACTTATATTCTCACAAATGTTGTTAGGCAAAGTGCTGTAAGCCAAAAATCCTAAGCTCCCCATCTGTCTGAATAGACTCCCCCTTGGCCAAGAGGACCCCAGAGAAACCTAAAAAACTGAGTTCTTGGCCATGATGAGAAGGGAGGTCAGACACACCTCCTTACATCCCCTTCTTTTGAGGTTTAGGCACAACTGACCAGCATTAATGTTAAAACAGAGATCATAAGACTGACAAAACAGACTCTTTGTGGCAATAAGATACCAAATTATAAATAGGACCTAATGTCACACCAGACAAGGGCTAAGTTATGCACCCCTATAAGTGATGCTGACTGAGTGTAATGGTTAACAACTTCTTTATCTTAAACATTCCTTTCTGCCAACTCCAAATTTTTAGACAAAGCTTTACTCTTTAACTGATTGCAAATTTAAAAATCTCTGAACCCACCTATGACCTGTAAGTCCCTGCTTCAAGATATCCCACCTTTTGGGCCAAACCAATGTATAACCTCCATGTATCAATTTATGAATTTGCTTATTAACTCCTGTCTCCCTAAAATGTAAAAACTCAAACTATAATCTGACTGCCCTGCGTGCACTTTCTTAGGACCTCTTGAGACTGTGCTTCCCTGGGCCATGGTCACTCATATTGGCTCCGAATAAAGCTCTTTAAAATGTACTACAGAGTTTGGTTATTCCATTAACAATGCATTCCTTTGAACTGCCTCCCCCTGCCAATCCTACTCTCACCCTCAAAAACTATGTTGATGCCTCAAAAAACCTACAAACTTTAAAGGAATATTCCATTTTCATTACATTACTGTGAAATCCTTGCTGATTTGAAAATTAAAATATCTTATAAAAATGGTTGCATTTTAAATTAATCCATTTTGATTAAAATCACTTGTCAGGAACATGCCTTAATAACATTTCTCTGGAAAATGTTCTATATAACATTGTCTTAATAAATAGAAATCGGCACTGGAGAAAGTGCATGCTACACATTTGAAGGCAATATTTTTATATTCTTTCAAATTTACTTTCAAAAACTGAGTGATGATTTGGTTATTTCACTTTCCAGAAGTAAATAAAGCAAATACTCATAAACACTCCAAAATGAACTACCCTCAAATTTACTCTTGGAAGCCTGGGAATATTTTTCTCTCTATTGGGATAATACCAAAAACAAAAGGTTATGCATCCCAAATAAAGATTTTTCCTTCAATTAATTATCAAAGCATATATACATGTTTTTGTGGTTTTAGTCATTTTAATGAGAAAGTAGAAGGTTTTCCTAATTCTCTAACATTTCTTCAATTTGGAATGAATCATGTGAAAGATAACTTCTTTCTATACTTAAATAAACTATTGCTGACAAGCTTGATTTTAATAGTTCCACAAATACCATATTCCCAGTATACAAATTTACTCTGCCTCACTTCTACAGCCTTCTATTACGGTATCTTACCCTAGTCAAGTTTATTTCTATGCTCCTAATAGATTCTGCTTCAATTAAACCAATGTGATCATTTTCTCCCACTGTTTATTTCATTCATCACACCTTCCTACCCATGCTCATTCTCTCAGGAATGCCTGCCTTCCTTTTCCTCTCCAACTACCCACCTTTGGCTCGTCTTCAGGAATAGCTTAATACCCATCTCTTAGCTTTGCACCAGAAGGATCTGATCTCTGAATCTCTAATAACTTTAATAATAATTGCCACAGAGGTGTTACTTTGTTCTTCAATTGTTTCATATGTGTGTCACTTCTGTAATCATCTCCTTGAGAACAATGGGGACCAGGTTTAGCATTTCATACTAAATCCAGAACTAATATCTCCATAAATCTGCACTCATACATCTAAAAATATCATATGTCAGTCTCCAGAGCTTAATAAAGGTAAATAGGTCCAGACCTACAGCAAAACCAAAGCCACTCTCAATTTTCATGTATCACATATTTTAATACATTACAGATTTGGCAGAAAGAAGATTTTAAGCAATTGCCTGGTGGCACTGCCACTAACCTGGGCCAAGTCAGAAGCTCTTCCCTGACCAGCATCTCATGAAAGTGCTATAAGTGAGGCTTCAGTTGAGGTGGGCCTCCAAGAGTTGTCAGTGGAAGGCTCCAGGGCCTGGACTTTCTTGCTCCCAAGAGGTACCAAAAGGGTAAATGTACCCAGATCTGGACCAAAATCTCCTTCCAGCCCAACTTCTACCTTCCCTTCCATCATGGAACGGTAGGTGCAGCCTGGTGCACAAGTGGATGGTGGACTGGAAGATACATCAAGGTAATGCATGGGAGATGGAGATGGCCAGCTGACTCGCAACTCACCTTGAGGGAGGAGTTACTAGGTCCCATTCCCAATCCTTACACAGGGACCTCCATTCCTGTGTTGAAATTTAAAGTTTAAGGACTCCTTAAACAACAGCCCTGAACCTAATCCCCACTAATAACTGAATGGATATTTCTAGTGCTTCTCACCTATCCACCTTGTTTTCTGTGTATCTAGGAAAGCAGCCCCGGGCGTGGTGGCAGGTGCCTGTAATCTCAGCTACTCGGGAGGCTGAGGCAAGAGAACTGCTTGAACCCAGAAGGCAGAGGTTGCAGTGAGCTGTGATGGTGCCACTACACTCCAGCCTGGGTGACAGAGCAAGATTCTGTCTCAAAAAAAAAAAAAAAATAGAAGTGGCATGTGCCAGGCCTATGCCCATGCTATCAGTTATCTGAGCACATTCATTTCCTTTCTTATTTAAGCTATTCTGAGGCAAGTTTTCTACTACTTCTAAAAAAAAAAAAAAAAAAAAAAAAAAGTTACTCATCATCCTGAGGTAGGAAAAGGCTTAAGACAATAGATTTGAGAACAGAAAGGACTGTTCTATGCTCAAGGGCCAGAATGCTAAAGTTTTACAAGAGGTCTTTTCAGAAACAATGCTATCTAGCTGTCTAGAACTGCAAACTCCTCCCAACCAATCCCCTGGCTCTGAGGAATTATTTACTCCTCAGAGTGAATTACCAAGAAATGGCTTTGTGTGTCTGTGTATTCTGAAGAATCTGTAACTACAGAACTAGAAAGACCATGGCTGAGCCTCACTCCACCAACAGAAATAAATGCTGAACCAGCAATGGCAGCATATACATACATTACTGTGGTGTGTCAGGCTGCTGGGAGAACAATGTTCTTCCCTCTAGTGGACAAAGACTACATTGAACTGCAGGAAGCACAACCCCTTTGGTAATCAGATTTTCATGTTTCTCTTCTGTGAAAATAGTAACCAGGACCAATTCTAAGAATGAGTAACTACCTAGAGATTCTCAGGCTACTATAAAGAGAGGAATCTGAAAAATAAAAGAAATTCTCATGAAAATGTGGCAGGCAGAGCCAAGGGTAATCTATGTGAATTAATAAAGAAGTATAACCTTCCCTTTTCATCTTGCCTTCCCTTTTGTCTCCAGTATGCGGGAATCAGCGTAGTGGCTGAGGTAGCTAAGAACACAGGGCAGTGAGAAAGGGTTGGGGGTGTGCACAGGCCCAGGGCAACAGGTGCAGTGGCAGAGGAACACAGATGGCCTAGAGGTGATAAACAATGAAGATAGCAGTGTAACTGGGAGGTCTACATACAGAAAATTATTTTTGATTGTGTAAATAAAATATATTGAGGATAATGGGTGCTATGTTCCTGCCAAAGGAGGTATTTACAAACAACTCCAAGATACAAGGTTGGAACTGAAGATATCAGTAGGAACCCATTATTTTCTTACGTACTCATATACACACACACACACACACCCCTCTCCTAACCCTGTCCCCTGATAGGGTCTCAGTTTCTTCAACTATGAAAATGAAGAGATACCCTAGAATCATTCTGAATCCCTTCCACTTCTAACAAACCATGATTATACGAGAATGTTGGCAAACAAAGATACCGCCTTTCTGCAATCTGCCTGAACCTACCAAAAATAATACTTCAGAAAGACTTATATCATGACAGTTAGAAATTAGTCAACAGGAAAAAGCAGAATTATCAATTATATCTATCACACAACACAAAGCAGCATGTTATAAATGTTCACTCTCTGGACGTTGTTACTGCTTAAGAAATTGTCATTTCAGCAAATAATTTTTCTTAATGCTAGAAAGATACAACATGAGCATTACTCTGCTTTAAAAAAGGAGCAAGGAGACTATCATTAACAAAAATCTGCCACCCTAAATTATTTCATTTCCACTTTACACCAGAGGAGATGAAATTTTAAATATTTAAAAACCAGAATACATACTATGCAGAGAGGAGCCAAGCAAAAGCAATTAGAATTGTGAAATATTAATTTTAGCTTTTCCTTCTTATAACCTTGGTAAATATATCAGTCAAAATGTTAACCTTTCTGCTAAAACACATAAAATGCCCTTGTAAAATAAACATGTATCTATGAACTCTTCTGCTTTTTCACAACTTTGTCATTCCTACAAGTAACGAAACAAATTTAACATAGACATTATAATACCATAATTTTTTTTTTTTTTTTTGAGATGGAGTCTCGCCCTGTCACCCAGGCTGGAATGCAGTGGTACGATCTCAGCTCACTGCAACCTCTGCCTCCCAGGTTCAAGCGATTCTTCTGCCCCAGCCTCCCAAGTAGCTGGGATTACAGGTGTGTGCCACTACACGCAGCTAATTTTTATATTTTTAGTAGAGACGGGGTTTCAGTATGTTGGTCAGGCTGGTCTCGAACTCTTGACCTATTGATCCGCCCGCCTCGGCCTTCCAAAGTGCTGGGATTACAGGCATGAGCTACCGCGCCCAGCCTATAATACCATAATTTTTATTCTACTCAAATGATTCTTTTAGGAAATACATATTTAAGTAGCTGCCTACCATAAGACTACACAGGATTATGTCTAGCCACCAACATATATGCTTTGAGAGGTGTCTGAATCACCCAAATTTTTAAATATATAAATAATTTTGGCCAATAAAAACTGGCCAAATACAGAGCCCAAAAATAAACCTGCACAACTGCAGCCAACTGATTTAAGACAAAGGTGCCAAAAATAAACAATGGGAAAAGGACGGTCTATTCAACAAATGGTGCTGGGAAAACTGGATTTCCACATGCAGAAGAATGAACTTGGACCCTTATCTCACACCATATATAAAAATCAACTCAAAATGAATTAAAGACTTAAACATAAGACCAGAAACTCTAAAACTACTAGAAGACAACATATGGGAAAAACTACATGACATTGATCTAGGCAATCACTTTTTTTTTTTAATTTGACCCCAAAAGCACAGGCAACAAATGCAAAACACACAACTGGGATTACATCAAACTAAAAAGCTTCTACACAGCCAAGGAAACAACAATATGCAGAGACAACCTATGAATTGGGAGAAAATATTTCCAAGTGTTACGCCTGATAAGGGTTTAACATCCAAAATGCGTAAGAAGCTCAAACAACTCACTAGCAAGAAAACAAACCAAAAAAAATCCAGTTTAAAAATGGGCAAGGGACCAGAATAGACATTATTTGTCAAGAGCAGACACACAAATGGCCAAAAGACACATTTTTTTAAAAAATGTTCAACTTCACTATTAGGAAAATGAAAAATCAAAACCACAATGAGATACCATCTCACACCTGCCAGAATGGCTTTTATCAAAAAGATGAAAGATTAAGTGGTGGCAAGGACATGGAGTAAAAGGGAACCCTTGTAAACCATTGGCAGGAATGTAAACTAATACAGCAAATATGGAAAACGTTACGAGGATTCCTCAAAAAACTAAAAATAGAATTACCACAAAATCCAGCAATCCTACTTCTGGGTACTGACCCAAAAGATTTGAAATCAGTAGGCTGAGGAGGTATCTGCACTCCCATGTCCACTGAAGCACTATTCACAATAGCTAAATTATGGAATCAACCTAAGTAACTATCAACAGATGAAAGGATAAAGAAAATATGGTATGTATACACAATAGAGTACTATTCAGCCTTACAAAAAGAAGGATGTTCTGTCATCTGCAACAATATGGATGGAATTAGAGAACATTATGATAAGTGAAAAAAGTCATCTGTTCTCACATGGGGAATCTAAAATAATCCAACTCAGAAGCAGAGAATAGAAGGTAGTTACAGAGGCTGGGGGAGTGGGAGTTATAAGGAGATGATGGTCAAAGGGTACAAAATCTCAGTTAAGAGAAATTTTTTTTCTTTCTTTGAGTCCTCTTGCACAGCATGATGAATATATTTAATAACAGGGTATTGCACATTTCAAAACTTGCTAAGAGTAAATTCCAATGAGGTGACAGACATATTAACTAGCTTGATTTCATTATTCCACAATGTATTCATAAATTATAACATAACTTTGTGACCCATAACTTTGTATAATTATAAACTGCCAATTTACAATAAAAATTCCATTTAAATTAACTTTTAATGGCACCACCAAGTAAAATTACTACAACAATGACAGAACCAAAAAAATACCACCAGGATTAAATTAGGTGACAAAAGGAGGATTGGTGCTGCAGCAAGTTTGCCTCCCTGGAGAAAAAAAATGCTTCCTGACCATGATTCTCTAGTCCTTTGGGCCCTTACCCATCTGCTGTTTTGCATAATTATTTACATTTTTAGCATCTTCATCTCAGTCCCCTTCTTCTTGTAAATTCCTATAGCACATATTTCCATTAATTATTCATTGAATACTTTGTATATCCTTCCCTGTGCCATGAGCTGTGTCTCACAAATGAACCAAAATAGAAAATGACTCAGTAAGTCATCTGCTACAATGTTAACTAACTAGATCACAGTTCTACTAAGAATTCATCCCACTCCGTTGTGCGATAAACAGAGGCCCTAAGACATGAATTCAATCAAGTTAACCTTTTCCACTTAGGTGGAGAAGCACCTAATTACAGACCAGGAGAAAAAGGAAGAAGTTGTTTATTATAGAAATAATATGAAATGTATTTAGTTTTTTACATGAAACATTACCAAAGTAAAACTTTCTTGCCGAATCCATCCTTTTTCCTAATATGTTCCTCTTCATTTTCTTGTTTCTTGTTAGTAAACGAAAACATTATGTCCTATTTTTTTTTTCTTTTCCTGCTTATATCAGAAAATATTTCCAAAACTTTAGAAATATAAAAAACAACTGGGTACATCTTTTTAATATTATATGGGGAGGCAAAAGGCACTCCAAGCAAAAGTACTCAATGCACCACACAGTTTACCTTTGATTAAAGTCTCAGACTTACTGAATTGCCTGTTAACTTGCAGATTTCCAACTAATTGAGATGCAAATAATTTCTGTCTGGTAGAATAGATATCTACAAAGAATGATGGCTGAGTTGGGCATTAACCAATTTTCCTTCTAATCCAGAAACATTTATTTGACAAACTGCTTGTGTATGCCTAACTTTTCAAATGTTCTTTGAGGCAGTCATAATATCTTAATGATATCTTCATTAATTTCCCGACTTAAGTGATTTTGCCTTTTTGAAAATACCATATAACACTTGTAAAAGCAGAAACCATGTCTGTACAGAATGGTAGGTGTATTTATGTGACCACTGTTCCTTAACTGCTTAGTTCAAAAAAAAAGTTGATGAAAACCAAAACCATTTACATACTATCACATGCTATTGCCTCCCTTAGGAAAAAAAACATTATTTTCAGTATGAAAAAGTAAATAAAAAGAAAAAAAAGAAAAATTTTAATGTACTGGCTCATTTCCTCCCACTGAATTTATTACAATTTCCCTGGTAAGCTCGAAAAAGCTAGGGGGGAAAAAAGGTCTGAACCATTAAGTCTGGCAGAATGAACAAGTCATAGACAAGAGAGCTACAGCTCTGGCAGCTAGAAAGGGGGTTATCTTCTTGATTGGGCTTCTCTTTAAATTATGCTTGAATGAAAGAATGCAGAGTTGTGAACAACCTATACACATTCATACATTGATGAGCAATGCGACCTATCTAGCTACAATCAGCACAACGTCACTTACTCTTATTAAATGACAAACAATGCATTTGACTTCAGCAAGCAATAAATAGTAACCTATAATTCAATAGCTTTCACAGTTGCTAAGTCAGAGATGCAGACATTCATGATGGTTCAATGAGAGGATCTGATACTGTTTATGCCAAATCAGCATAATTTCTGTTCTGCTATACTTATTTTGCACCAGGGCATTGTTTGAATTTTGCTGTTTAAATGGCAAACGTAAAGGTCTTACTTCAAGATTTGTCTGTAGGAATTTCTATAAGGAAAAGATTTAGACAGAGACAGCTTCACAGAGAACAAACAAGACTCCTGGGAAGCAATTTAATTTGGTCAACAGACAGTTACTGTAAAACCTTGTTAGCTGATGGAATGGTTCACAGTGCTGCCAGTCAAAAGTCAAAGGTATTCCCTCAAAGTCAAAAGATTTCATGAAGACTGGGTTAGTCAGAATACTGCAGAGCTTGAAACCCAAAGAAAACTCTTGAGTCATGGGCACAGAGGAATATATGTATATGCTTCAAAGTTAATCAGCTATCTACAAACAACTACAATTACTTTCTCAAAAGAGGAAATTAGAGAGGAATATGATCCTAAACCACGTATTAACTTCTAATTCTTTTTAATATATTTCTCTCTTGCTCTCAACAAATAATCAAGACTGTTTACAGGATTCTTGGTTGAAAATGTGGATGTATGCTTGAGCCCAGGAACTCAAGGTTACAAGGAGCTATGATCACACTATAACACTGCAGCCTAAGCGACAGAGCAAGACTCTGTCTTGAAAAGAAATAAAAAATAAAAATAAATAAACAGAAAGAAAATGTGGATTTAAAATGTCTTCCTGTTGGCAAGTAACACTGGTGTCTGGGGGAAAAAAGGAAAAGAAAAAAATAAAAGGTCCTCCTAAAAATAAAATATAATACAATTTGAGCTAGAAAAGGTAATGAACAGCTTATTTGCCAGAATGTAAATGGTGGTTACTTCTACATGATGGGATTCTCAATAGTTTTAATTTTCTTATTGGTACTTTTCTGTATCTTCTGAAATTTCCAAAAAGAACATATATTACTCTAGTCAACAGAAAAACGCAAACAAATATTTATTTATATGCATATACATGTAATTTAAAATATTTTTAAATGAGCAGTAACCACTCCAAAGTCTTACACTTTAAATTAATTCAGGAAGTAAGCCTGAATTTTGAATTAATAATCTAATTATTAGCCTTATTGAAATGCTTCAAAAAATTCAGGATGTCAATTTCAGTGTTTTTGATGCATGAAAATTAAAATTTGGGCATGTGCTTTAAACATATTTTACATAATCTGAAATAACATATTTTACCTAAGTTTAACATTAAAAAAGAACACCTCGGCCAGGCACGGTGGCTCAGGCCTGTAATACCAGCACTTCTGGAGGCCAAGGAGGGTGGATTGCTTGAGGTCAGAAGTTTGAGACCAGCCTGACCAACATGGCAAAACCCCATCTCTACTAAAATACAAAAAGTAGCTGGGCGTGGTGGCAGGTGCCTGTAATCTCAGCTACTCGGGAGGCTGAGGCAGGAGAATTGCTAGAACCCAGAAGGCAAAGGTTGCAGTGAGCCGTCATGGTGGCACTACACTCCAGCCTGGGTGACAGAGCAAGACTCTGTCTCAAAAAAAAAAAAAAAAAAAACAGAGTACCTCTACTCAAAGCTCATGACAGTCCAACCCTCTCAACACAGAGCAAAGGTAGTAAAATAATTCAAACTACTGGCCAGAATACAGAGAACTCTCAGAAACAGAAAGGTTTTCCAAGGTTAGATTCAATTAAATAAAAAAGGTAAAATGCATATTTAAGTTTTCCTATACAATACTGCCAATTCCACTAAAAAGACAAAATATCTAAAGTCTTCAACCACAAACCCAAAGCCAAAGTGACCATGACTAAAAATGTTTTTAAATAATAAAGAGTTTCATCTAAACAATGTAATAAATCCAAGTTATGACTGCTGAACTCCTCAAAAACCCAATAGTGACTAAATGATTTCTATCCTAAGATGCAACATTTCCTTAAAAAGCTCAAACACTAGGACAGGCACGGTGGCCCACTCTGTAATCCCAACACTTTGGGAGGCCGAGGTGGGCGGATCACTTGAGGTTAGGAGTTCTAGACCAGCCTGGCCAACATGGCAGCTACTCAGGAGGCTGAGGCAGGAGAATCGCTTGAACCCCGGAGGCGGAGGTTGCAGTGAGCCGAGATCACACTACTGCACTCCAGCCTGGGCACAAGAGAGAGACTCCATTTCCCCAAACAAAAAAATAAATAAATAAATAAAATAAAAGCCGAAAACTAGATGCACAATTCATAAACTTGGGGAATAAACCTAGAGAAACAGGGAACACCCTCCCCCTGGAGATAGTATGGTTTTCTGCCCACGTAAATGAACATTGTCTTTAAACAGACTCCATAAAATTCTCCAAGTTTCAGAAATTGATCTTTTTAAACTAAGTCTTTCCAAGAGTGTTTAAATGTATTCCATTTCCCTTAATGCTTAGGTAATATAACTTCTTATGTACCAATATTCAGATTTGAGATGATTTCTAAAATACCTTAATTTTAAAGTATAATCACATTCATCAAAGCTGGCCATTTCAGAAGTCATCACCTCTTTATCGAAGATGTAAGAGCCAGTAAAGCGCTTCCTATATATTATTTTTAGCAACAATTTTCCATCTTTTCATTTCCTTTCATAACAGTCCCTCAGATTCAAGAGTATGTAAACCCAGCCACAAACAGTAACAACTCCTTGAAGTATGTTTTGTTTTAAAGTAGCAGAATTTGTAAAGCTGAACATTGTTGCAGAGAAAACTCATCACAGATACAATATTAAAAAGTGAATTTTACATTCATGAGGTTTTAAAAAAAATCTAAAAGAACAAATTATATATTTGAGAAAAATATCTAATGGATTTTTAGTTGATTCTTTTAAACAAAAGACTACACAGAAAATGTTTCAAAGTTGAAAACTGATTTTTTAAACCATAATTTTAAAATGTTGTTGGGAAAAATTTAACTTCCTCTTTCAGTGACCAATAACCATGTAACTATGGAGTAGGATTCAGGGAAAGAATGTACTTTAAAATCTTTCCTGTCCAGGCAGAGTGGCTCATGCCTGTAATTCCAGCATTTGGGGAAGCTAAGGCAGGCAGATCACTTGAGTTCAAAACTAGCCTGGGCAACATGGTGAAACCCCATCCCTACCAAATATACAAAAATTAGCCAGGCATGGTGCTACCTGCCTTTCGTCCTAGCTACTCGAGAGGCTAGGTAGGAGGAACGCTTGAGCCCAGGAGTTCAAGGATGCAGTGAGCCAAGATCGCACCTTTGCACTCCAGCCTGAATGACAGAGTAAGGCCCTGTCTAAAAAAAAAAAAAAAAAAAAAAAAAAAAAAAAAAAGCCTTCCCAAGGATCTTTGTTAGTTGTTAATGTACAGATAATCTCTCAATCACTTTATCTCGTAAAATTCTATACTGAAAATGAAATCTAGGTCTTACTCCCTCCTCAAAAAAACTTTTTGTTCCTGTGTCACTCTATGATTTTACCTCTGTCACCTCAGCTCTGTGCTAAGTAAAAAGTAGGAGAGAAAGTTTGAGCAGGAGCACATAGAGAGCCCACCAGGTGAAAACAGAGTAATGGAAGATGACAAAGAATGAGTGAATAAAGGTAGGGAGAAATAATGATAGTCTCTAAGCAAAATAGAATACCTAGGGATATGATTTGGATCTGCGTCCCTATCAACTCTCATGCCAAACTGTAGTCCCCATTGTTGGAGGTGAGACCTGGTGAGAGGTCACTGGGTCATGCGAGTGGATTTCTCATGAATGGTTTACCACAATGCCCTTGGCGCTGCTCTTGTAACAGTGACTGAGTTTTCTTGAGATCTAGTTGTCCAGTGCCTGCCGCTCTCCTTGCTCCTGCTCCTGCCATGTAAGACACCTACTCCTGTTTTGCCTTCTGCCATGAGTAAAAGCTCCCTGATGCCTCTCCAGAAGCAGATGTTGCCACGCTTCCTGTACAGCCTGTGGAACCATGAGCCAATTAAACCTCTTTTCTTTATAAATTACCCAGTCTCGAGTATTTCCTTATAGCAATGCAAGAATGGACTAATACACCAAGTTTTTATATAAGGTGTGTAATTATGTTCTATTAACACTGCAGTGACAAGAAAGAGAGAATCTTAAGTAGCAAGCACTTTGTTCCAATTTCAAAACCAAACCAAAAAATAATATTTATTAAGTGTGTACATACCCATGAGACTCCCGGGGCATATGCAATTTAATTAAATAAAAGAAAATAATCTATAGAGAAAATGTCCATTTTCGGGAAAATAAATCTGTTTATCATAACAACACTCATGAACACTCCCCAGTGTTCAGGACTACCAATGGGAGTCCAATTCATTATTGCTTATAAGGTTTGTGACTCTAAAATAGTTGAAAATCACATATTTCTCATTCAATGCCCTTCAGTCTTCTGACTCCGCAGAAAAATATGAATACAATTCTTAGTATTTCCACATACATATCCTAAGTTTTGAAATTTCCTCCTTTGCCATTTTCAGTAGAATCTAAACAAATTCCTTTCATGAAAGCAATTATATAACTTACCCACCTCCCCCAAAAAATGGAAGGTTTTCTCACTTTACTTCCAACTTCATTTAGTCCAATTGTTGGCAAATTTATAATCTTACTTCCTCCTCTGTCACAAACAAAAAGAAACCTCAAATGCCAGTATTTCATTCATCTTATTTGCAAAAAGGCTAAATTGGTGATAACATATTACTTGGCTTAGAATACATTCATATTGAGGAAGAAAATTAATGTTTTTAATATCCTAAAATACCTACGTTAGACCCAAATGCTGCAGTGATCTAAGAAGAGTGCTTCAGTCTCACTCCCTTTCAGCCACAACTACCCATGCAATTTTATTAAGTCCAAAATATATACAGAAATAAAACATACACACACATACACAGGAATCTCATAAGAATGAAACAATGTTATCTTCATTAGTGAAGGAAGAGAGATAAGGTAAACAAAGTGAAGTTATCAAAACTAGACCTAAGCCACAATATCAGCATACATTTAACAGCTTTTCTATGAAAGTATCATTAGGTGCATGATGACTTACAATCCCTAGGTTTATCTCTCAAAAATGAACTGCTCAAACAAAACAAATCACTTTTTTTTTTTTTAAAGGCAGGGTCTTTCTCTGTCGACCAGGCTGGCATGCAGTGACACTATCATTGCTCACTGTAGCCTCGAATCCTGGGCTAAGGCAATCCTCTTACCTCAGCCCCCCAAGTAGCCGGGTGCACCTCCAGGCCTGGCTAATTGTTTAATTTTTTTGTAGGAGAGATGGAGGTCTCACTTTATTGCCCAGGCTGGTCTCAAACTCCTGGGATCAAGTGATCCTCCCACCTTTGCCTCCTGAAGTGTTGGGATTACAGGTGTGAGCCACTGTGCCCAGACTCCAAATTTTCTTTAAAAGCACGTCAGGACACTGAAATCAGAACTGAGGTAGTTCACAGTTGTTATCTAAATTGGGGACAGATAGTTAGGCTATGTGACCACCTGAGAAATGGCAATGCTTCTCTGAGTGTGCTTTCCATTGTGCTACATATATCAGAAACCTAAGAATTGTACAAATCTCTATTTGTACACATTAAAAAAAAGAGGCAATAAAACAGATGAGAAGAAATGTCAAACCCAAAGAAAAATGAAAAGGGACACAACAAAGATTGTGTGTGTGTGTGTGTGTGTGTGTGTACACGTTCACTCTTAAACTCTCCCTAAAATTATATAACCTAAAATCCAGTTATGAATGCTATATGAAAAAGCAATCTGATATGAAAGGATAATAGATCTTCAAAAACATGCAAAAGCTTTTCTGTTTTGATGTTCTACAATCAGTCCCATTAAAACTAAGATAAGATTATTTGAAGTAAATGCCTGAAGTCAACAGAGGATACACTTAAAAATTATCCAAAGAATCTACAAAACTTATATTAAGAGATTTATTTTCTTGGTCTTTTAGCCTCATTTGCTTCTATCAACAGTAGCTTTTCAAGATTTAAGAAACTCCTGCCCAGGCACAGTGACTGACACCTGTAATCCCAGCACTTTGGGAGGCCAAGGTGGGCAGATTGCCTGAGGTCAGTAGTTCGAGACCAGCCTGGCCAACATAGTGAAACCTCATCTCTATTAAAAACACAAAAATATAAAAAGAGCTGGGCGTGGTGGTGGGCACCTGTAGTCCCAGCTACTCGGGAGGCTGAGGCAGGAGAATCACTTGAACCTGGGAGGTAGAGGTTGCAGTGAGCTGAGATTGCGCCACTGCACTCCAGCCTGGGCAACAGAGTGAGACTCCAACTCAAAAAAAAAAAAAAAAAAAAAAAAAAAACACAAAGAAAGAAACTCCTATACAAAGCTAACATTTCATACAAAATTACTTTAGTTTTCCATATCTTATTTATAGGCAGCCTTTAATCCAATGTCTTCTGGATTCTGGTTTTTTACTAGCTACTTAATGCTATGAGCAAGTATGTAAAGGGGTAGCAATTAGTTCACCTATTCCCTTCAGAATAACATTCATATATTTTAACAGTCTCTAGCAAAATACATATCTCACTCAAGCACTGATTTTTCTTAACATGGCACAAAACGCATAACCCCAAGGACAGACCCCAATTTCAGAACTAAATTCAAAGGGCTATTTGATTGTGACTGAACTAACAATTCACAGTCCCTAAAGTATCCCACCTCTCTGCTAATACCAAATGCCCTTTATCCCCCATCCCCAATTTCAACTTCCTAGACTTGACTCCAGGCTGGCAATGTTCTACATCTGAACTAAAATAAGAGACAATTACTCAACTAGTGAGAATATAGGGATTGGAAAATAAGCAAATGAAAAGATGTTCAACAGCACTAGCCATTGGGGAATTGCAAATTAAAGCCGTGATGAGATACCAACATTATTAGATATGCCTATTAAAATGGCCAGGATTAAGCCACTCAAGTTTATGAAATTTTTGTTATAGCAGCCCAACCAGAATAAGACAGCTGCCTTCTCACTACAACCTCACAGGGTCTTTCCTCTGTTCTCACAGCCCTCCTGTCTCTGTCTCCCAATTTCCTTTATGGGACAACAATCAGACTGTATTAGGGCCAATCAGATTGTATTAGGGCCCACCCTAAAAGCCTCGTTTTAACTTAATTGTCTCTTTAAAGGCCCTATCTCCAAATGTGGTCACATTCTGAAGTACAGGAAGTTAGGGCTTCAACATATAAATGTTGGAGGGTCACAATTCAGCCCATAAGACTGATAAAGACTCCTTTATCAAACTTGAGTCAGGCTCCTCTGGGTCCTCTTTCTGACTGGGCCTTGACCTTGGGTTCTGTCCTTGGTCCACTTAGTCCAATGTCAGCAAGAATCCTGCTAATAAGTCAGTTTACTGGAAATCCTCCATTCTCAATAATTTATCACCCTGGCCTGTCTTCAGCAAGAATCCTGTTGAGTTGGTCTAGCAAGAGTCCCTCCAGCCTTGATGTTTTATCTTAGTAATTTTCCATCCACTGACTCCCACCCTGCTCCTTGGCTATAAATATCCACTTGTCCTTGTTATATTCTGAGTTGAGCCCAATCTCCCTCCCGTAGGGCAAAACCTCAATGGAGTAGTGAATTAAGTCTGGTCTTACTGTCTTTAACAAGAGTTTAAATAAGTTTTTTCTTTAACAACAGTATGATTCCATTTATATAACATTCTCAATATGGCAAAATTATAGTGATGAAGAACAGATTATGGTTGCCAAGGTTGCAGAGATGGTATAAAGGAGTAGCATGAAAAAGTTTCTCTTGGATGATGAGAAAGTTCTATACCCTGATTGTGGTGGTGATTACAAGTATCCATACATGTGGTAAAGGTTCATAGAATACATACACACATACAAATAATGCATGTTAAAACTGGTGAAATATGAATAAGGTCTGTAGTTTAGTTAACACTAATACCATGGTTATATAAGATATTATTAAGGAAAGCTGAATGGGAGGTACAAATGAAACTCTCTACTATTTTTGTAAATGTGAGTCTAAAATCATTTCCAAATAAAAAGTTTTTAAATATCTCTTTATAGCTCATAGAATCTCTAGGGAAGCCTAGAGAACCATATTTAGAGGTTATGCAACAAGCACAATGCCCTCCCTTCATAACTCCCCATCAAAAGAAACAATTATATTATCAGGTTGTCCCCTAACCCAAACACTCATGTCCCACACCACAGTACTTGTAGGTATGCTGTCAATGGTTTGAGAAAACTTGAATAGGGAGCCCTACTGAAAAATATTTGTGAAACAGGGTTTTAGGCAAAGATTATCAATAGTTTTATTACTTCTTTCTTCAAGTATATTTACATGAGGATTTGAATAATCTACGTTGAATATATAGTCTTGGATCTTAACAGCAATTTCACACTAATGTCTGTTTGTTAGTTTTAATCTCCCTTGATTTACTTTTGGAAACAAGGATGTAAGATGGTGAGGGGAAAAGCAAACAACTTTACAACTTGATATTGATTCATAATCAATTTACTGCAGAGTTACCTCAAAAATGATTACACTGCCGCAATAAGACAATGACAGGTTTAACACATTTCTTGTATGTATAAATTTAAAAAACCAAAAAAAAAAAAACACTTTCCAGGGTAAAAATAAACCTTGGGTATTTAAATTAAAAAATGTCAATTCTAAATGTTTAAAATTAAGCCTGCCATAATTCTACTGCAATTTTTTTTTTAAGTCAGTTTTTAACCTAGCTTCTCTCCTGTCTAAATGTAGCCACAGGATTCCTAGAGTCCCCTTAGGAAATAATCACCATGTGAGTTTTCCATGCAAATTTAAATTAATTTGAAACAGCTTGAAACTTGCAGTTAATCCTCCAAGTTGCATTTATAAGAATAAGGTTCAAATTTACAGTATTCTTATTTCAAGGAAAAGCAGCATTACAATATACAAACTATACATAAAGGATTCAAGAATTCTGACTTCTGATCTCACCAATTTTCTGCCATCTCAGAAAGTATTCCTGACAGGTCCCTTAATTCATCATCCTTAACATATTCATAGAGTTTAATCTCATTTATAAATAAACAACAATCTCCCCCCCAAAAAATTATCACTATAATACAAATGACACTGATAAAAATTTGCTATGTGATGCTGTTAATAATTGAATAACCAGCCTGGGCATGGTGGCTCACACCTGTAATCCCAGCACTTTGGGAGGCTGAGGTACCTGGATTGCTTGAGGTCAGGAGTTGGAGACCAGCCTGGCCAACATGGTGAAACTCCGTCCTCACTAAAATACAAAAATTTGCTGGGCTTGGTGGCGCACGACCTGGAATCCCAGCTACTAGGGAGGCTGAGGCAAAAGAATAGCTTGAACCCAGGAGACGGAGGTTGAAGTGAGCTGAGATCGGGCCACTGCACTCCAGCCTGAGCAACAGAGCAACAACAAGTCTCAAAGAAAAAAGAATTGAATAACCCAGTTAAAATACAATTCCAAAGAAGTTTTTTGGTTTAAATTACAATTTGACTAATAGTTTTTAACAAATCCGTTCCCAAAATCTCATTAAATACTTATGAAATCTGGAAAATATGAAAACCTGCAACACAAAAACTAAGACTGAAAAAATACAGGATGAATTAAAACAAACTGCTTTATAGTTTTCGCCAATTTCTGCCAGGATGATAAAGAAGTTCATTCCATTTTCTAGATAATTCAGTTATAAAAAAGAAGAGGAGAAATTTCACTTGGCAGCCATTTTCACACAAGCCGAAAATATAGCTGGACAACATTTTCAATCACATTCTACTAGCTTACTCTAGATCACAAACACAACGCAGAAATTTCCTGCTTTTTAATGTATTAATTATATGAAATAGGATTCTATCATAGCTTTGGCTTAACAAAGACCTGGCTATTTATTTCAATAATCTTTCCCTATCAAAATTTTGGAAAATTTTACACATTTCGACTTTAGCCAAAGATAAACCTCAGGTAGAAGAACAAAATCAAAACTATATCAAAATGTATTTATCTAATCACCTGTTGAGAAACATTTCATGTGATTCTAATTTGTGGCTATTATGAATAAAGCTGCTATGAATAATCATGAACAAGTCTTATGTACACCCCTCAATGGCAATGCATGAGAATACAACTTGGTCCCCAACACCTGGTTTTACCAGTTTTTAAATTTTAGCCATTCAAGTGGGTGTACTGCTGTATCTCACTGTGGCTTTAATTTGCATTTCCTCGATGACTAGCAATACTGATCATCCTTTTTCACACACTTAAGGGCATTAGTATATCTGCCTTTGTAAAATGTCTGTTCAAATCTTTTCCTCACTTTGGGATTCTTGAACACTTGAATACTGATCCTAAATAAAAAGAAATAAAACAGAACAAATAATGACACAAACAGAAATCTGGCTGAGAAAAAGAAACCAGACACAAAAAAGTACATACTATGTGAGTCTACTTAGATAAAACTCTAAAATAGGCAAAACTAATCTATAATATTCAAAATCACTCAGTGGTTGCTTGGGACGGAGAGTTTGAGATGAATGGTTACAAAAAGCACAAGGTTATATTTGGGAAGGTGGGAATGTTCCTTATCTCATTTGGCATAATACTTACATGATGAGTGTATACTTTAGCCAAATATTAGAGACTTGTGTATTTAAAATCTGTGCAGATTATTATATGTAAAGTATATATGAGTAGACACTACATGAGTTACTTTCCATCTTCAATTGTCATATTTGAATTAAAATATTTCTTTATGTGAAAAGAAATGCTGAGTTATTAGCTGTCCACATATACTTAACTTTTAAAATAGAAATTGATAATGCTTCTGAAGTCTACGTTCAGGGTCTCTTCCGTGCATACACAGGCCTATATTTGAGTAAAAGACCCTGAAATTCTGAGTTTCCATCTATTTTTACCATACTTCAACTGACCACTAAGAAAAAAATGAATTAATAAAAAGGTACACTATATCTGAGAGGTGTGATTACCGTTGTCTCCACCAACCTCTGTCCCTCAGATCTCTGGCCTCCTGTAAGTACCTTCTAATTCTATTCCTAGAATGACTCTCATCATTACTCAGACTATTAGTCATTTCTGGCTTCTGAGGATTATTACTACAGTCTCTAAAAAGGCCATTAAAATTATGTTGACCAAATGTTTCCTATGCTTGGTGGAGATTTCTAATCTTTGAGTAACATTTCAAATATCTAATGTTGTTATAAATTAGACCATACTATGAATAATTTAAAATAATTCCATTGGCAGGGTGTGGTGGCTCATGCCTGTAATCCTAGCACTTTAGGAGGCCAAGGTGGGCAGATCACAAGGTCAAGAGATCGAGACCATCCTGGCCAACATGGTGAAACCCCATCTCTACTAAAAATACAAAAATTAGCTGGGCGTGATGTGTGCCTGTAGTCCCAGTTACTTGGGAGGCTGAACACAGGAGGTGGAGGTTGCAGTGAGCCGAGATTGCGCCACTGCACTCCAGCCTGGGCGACAGAGCGAGACTCCGTCTCAAAAATAATAATAATAATAATAATAATAATTCCACTAAAAAATGTGTTTAGAATCTAAATCAAATAAATCCTAATTATTTGTTCAAAAAGGAAAAGAAATGAAAATATAATTTAAATACATGTTGCATAATAAAAACTAGATAGACACAGAACGTATTTTAAGCGAGAAAAACTTGAAAAGTCAAAGCTATTCTTAAGTATAATATTTCACAGTTATCTATTTAACCAAGATAAAATATATGTGTACACATGTTTATTTATTCATTTATTCATTCATTTGGTATTCCTCTATCCTACACTTAAGGGAACACTAGCAAGGTTTTTCTTGAGTTATTTTAGTTGAGCAGTATTTATTTGCATATATATAAAAGCTCTAAAGTGACAGTTATTGGTTCATTTAATAATTAATATATTTTAGTTGTCTCAAATTATGCAAATTACATTAAGACCAATATAACTTATTTGTAATGACTTTGCTGATCAAAAAATATTTCTAGCTTCAGGTGGAATAACTGATGTCAAAAATGCACATTCTAATCTCTTCCATTTAAATTATCCAACTCAATGTCTTTTTAATGTATTCTTCTTATATAAATATGATCCTCCTTAAATTACAGACCAGTATTGTGTTTTTAAGGCATTGCTTTGATTTAATGGTAATCTCCTTAATATAAGAGTTTCCCAAATTTGATAAAGTCTTTTTACGAAGCTGTAAACAGAGTACTAAAGAAAACCACTCCCACTGTGGGAAATCAATCTAGCAACTACCAAAAAGACACCGCTGCCACCAAAGGCAGAAAGTCTCTGCTCACATCCACCACTGCCAAAGGCAGAAAGTCTCTGCTCACATCCACCACTGCCACCACCAAACACAAAAAGCTCGATGAAGATTCTGTTTCCTCAGTTCCAAATCAAAGTCCTGTTCGGTTTCCTCAGTTCCAAATCAAAGTCCTGTGAGAGGTGAGTGTAATCAACGAAGTATAAGTCATATGCTTATGATCTGGTTACAAAAGAGAATGAGAATTTGAGTGCTGTCTTCTATATTGGTGGGAGTAACACTTACATTAGCAAGACATTTTATTTATTAAAAAAAAATTCCCAAATGTAAGACTTTATTCAAAAACCGAGGGTTAAATATGAATGCAACCACTACTACATACTACCCCTCCCTCCTGCTCTCATCTCCAATCCTATAATAAATTCATACAAAATCATACCAGAGTTTGGTAAATATATATTAACAGAATTGCTGGAACTGGACCCAGTCTCTAGCTCAGAGTATTTGGCTGGAGTCCAAATTCCCTGCCTGCATGATGCCAGCCACTATGCCCTAGGAAACCGCACCTTGTTCCTAAGACCAGTAAATACTCCCACCCTTTGTCATAGCTGGTTCCTCCTCCACACAGTACAGACCACCAAAAACCTCCTCAATGCCATTACAGGCTTTATAAATTGGAAATAACAAGAAACTTTTGTCACTGTATCCCATACACCAAAGTGAACCCTATTGGACACCAAAACCAACCTAGAATAAGCCTAAGTTCAACATACCCTTTGAATTCTAGGATATGGATGGCAACTCCCCAAAGTCTAACCACCCCATTCTGCAGAACCAGTCATTCCCCATCAATGGCCACCAAGATCCTAGGGCACATCTCTCACACTCATCCCTCCCTCCTATCCTCACTGTCACCATTCCAGTCTGGGTCTTCATAACTTCTTACATGAATATTGCAAGAGCATCCTAACAAATTCTTCTACACCAAAGTTCCCCTTGTACCATCACCACTACAATCACACATGCATATAAAATTCACATTAAATACTTAATTCTCTGAACAACTCAATAAAGTAAAAGTAAATACAGAAAGCACTATGGAAAATGTACCCCAAAATAATTAAATCTCAGTATTCTAAAGTACATTCCTAGAAGAAAGGAGACCTACAATTTGTCCATCAGCCTCACCCCTTTTACACAATGAAATGTGAGTAGCAATACAAAAGATAATCAGGTTTGGCAAGCAAATAATTAATCTAGTTTCTGACTGGCATGACAAAAGTAAAACATGAAAACTATTTCCTAAGTCCCTCTATACAGACTGTGGACTGAGGAGGCGATCACGAAATATTTAATGAATTAATAAGAATATAAAAATATAGGAAACAGGCCGGGCACAGTGGTTCATGCTTGTAATCCCAGCACTTTGGGAGGCTGAGGAGGGTGGATCACGAGGTCAAGAGATCAAGACCATCCTGGCCAACATGGTGAAACCCCATCTCTACTAAAAATATCAAAAAAAAATTAGCTGGGCGTGGTGGCACGCGCCTATAGTCCCAGCTACTCGGAAGGCTGAGGCAGGAGAATCGCTTGAACCTGGGAGGCAGAGGTTGCAGTGAGCCGAGATTATGCCACTGCACTCCAGCCTGGCAACAGAGTGAGAATCCGTTAAAAAAAAAAAACAAAAAAAAACACACACACACACACACACATAGGAAACATTACATTATCCCATCACTACTTCTAAGCTTAATCTTTATTCATCCTATATCTTTTTAATTCGGCTCTAGGATTCTTTTTTTAAAACCTCCTTTTGACCAAAATAAACTTTGTTCTATTTGCGTTTCCTCCCTAAAATCTCCCCTACATTTTGTGGTCCTCTGCTTATTTTCTCCATTTACTCTTACTGTCATAGCATTTTTACATGGCCATTTTTAAGCCTTCTTATTTATAAGTACCTCCTATTCTCTCTTGTTTGTTGAGGCATTTTTTAAAGCATTTATTTTACAATACAATTTTCCTCAGAGCTGCGTTAAAGAAACTTTCTGGCTATAAGTATTCACATATTTGCAATTAGGATATATTCCTGTTAAATGATTTTAATCTTTGTGCT
Source organism: Homo sapiens (assembly GCF_000001405.40). Classification (NCBI taxonomy): domain Eukaryota; kingdom Metazoa; phylum Chordata; class Mammalia; order Primates; family Hominidae; genus Homo; species Homo sapiens. The sequence goes on along the minus strand of NC_000006.12, from coordinate 60,319,487 downwards.
CTAATTGATTAGCAAGGATCTAGATGGCTGCACACATACTTGCCAAAAGAAGAGAAAAGCATGCAAGCATACCTCATTTCACCATGTTTCACTTTACTGCACTTCAAATTGTGTTAAAACTGAACACAATTTGAAGGTCTGTGGCAACCCTGCATTGAGATAGACAATGGGCTGCATTTTTCCAATAGCATGTGCTCACTTCATGTTTCTGTGTCACATTTTGGTAATTCTTGCAATAACTCAAACTTTTTCATTATTATCATATCTGTTATGGTGATCTATGATCAGTGATCTCTGATGTTACTAATGTAATTGTTTTGGGGCACCATCAACTATGCCCCTATAAGATGGGCTTCATCAGGAAATATTGTGTGTCTTGTGGCTATTTCACCAACCAGCCATTCCCTTGTCTCTCTCCTGTCCTTAGAGCTTCCCTATTCTCTGAGAAACAATAATATCGAAATTAGTAACTCACAATGGCCTTTAAGTATTGACGTGAAAGGAAGTTTCTCACCTCTCTCACTTTAAATCAAATGCTAGAAGTGACTAAGCTTAGTGAGAAAGGTATATCAAAAATGGAGATAGGTTGAAAGCTAGGCCTCATGTGCCATACAGTGAGCAAAGTCGTAAATGCAAAGGAAAAGTTCCTGAAGGAAATTCAAAGTGCTAATCCAGTTAACACATAAATGATATGAAAGTGAAGGCCAGGCATGCTGGCTCACGCCTGTAATCCCAGCACTTTGGGAGGCTGAGGCAGGTGGATCACCTGAGGTCAGGAGTTCGAGGCTAGCCCGACCAACATGGTGAAACCCCGTCTCTGCTAAAAATACAAAAATTAGCCGGGTATGGTGGTGCATGCCTGTAATCCCAGCTACTCAGGAGGCTGAAGCAGGAGAATTGCTTGAACCCAGGAGGCGGAGACTGCAATGAGCTGAAAATGCGCCATTGCACTCCAGCCTGAGTGACAGAGCAAGACTCTGTCTCAAAAAAAAAGAAAAGAAAAAAAGAAGAAAGTGAAGTGAAGCAGCCTTATTACCAATATAAAGAAAGTTTTAATGGTCTGGATGTACCACAACATTCCGTTAAACTTAAGCCTAATCCAGAGCAAGCCCCTAACTCTCTTCAATTCTATAAAGGCTGAGAAAGGTGGGGAAGCTGCGGAAGAAAAGTTGGAGTCTAGCAGAGGTGGGTCCATGAGGTTTAAGGAGAGCAGCCATCTCTATAACATAAAAGTGCAAGGTGAAGCAGCAAGAGCTTCAGAAGCTGCAGCAAGTTATCCAGAATATCTAGCTAAGATCATGAAAAAGCTGTTGTTTAGGTGGCTACACTAAACAACAGCTTTTTAATGTAGATGAAACCGCCTAATACTGGAAGAAGATGCCATATAGGACTTTCATAGCTAGAGAGAAGTCAAAGCCTGGCTTCAAAGCTTCAAAGCACAGGCTCACTCCCTTGTTAGGGGCTAATGCAGCTGGTGACTTTAAGTGGAAGCCAAAGCTCATTTACCATTCTGAAAATCCTAGGGCCCTTAAGAATTAGGCCAAATGCACTCTGCTTGTGCTCTAGAAATGGAACAATAATGTCTAAATAATAGCACATACGTTTACAGCATAGTTTACTGAATATTTTAAGCCCGCTGTTGAGACCCACTGCTCAGAACAAGTTTCCTTTCAAAATATTACTGCTTGTTGGCAATGCACCTGGTCACTGAAGAGCTCTGATAGAGATGTACAAGGAGATTAATGTCTTCATATCTGCTAACACAATATCCATTCTGCTGCCCATGGATCAGGAATATTTTAACTTTCACATCTTATTATTTAAGAAATACATTTTGTAAGACTAGAGCTACTATAGATAGTGATTCCTCTGATGGATCTGAGCAAAGTAAGTGGAAAACTTTCTGAAACGATTCACCAATCTAGATGCCATTAAGAACATTTGTGATTCATGGGAGAGGAAATACCAACATTAACCGGGATATAGAAGTTGATTCCAACTCTCATGGTTGACTTTGAGGGGTTCAAGTCTTCAATGGAGGAAGTTCACTGCAAATGTGGTGGAAATCACAAGAGAACTCGAATTAGAAGTGGAGCCTGAAGATGGGACTAAACAGCTGCAATCTGGTGATGAAACTTTAAAGGATGTGGAGTTGCTTCCCATGGATGAGCAAAGAAAGTGGTTTCTTGAGATAGATTCTACTCCTGGTGAAGATGCTATGAACATTGTTGAAATGGCAACAAAGAAGTTAGATTATTATATAAACTTAGTTTATCAAATAGTAGAATGCTTTGAGAGGACAGACTCTCATTCTTTTGAAATAATGCAGCACACTGAATGGTTGTCTTATTTTAAGATATTGCCACAGACACTCCAACCTTCAGCAATCACCACTCTGATTAGTCAGCAGACATCAACATTGAGGCAAGACCCTCCACCAGCAAAAAGATTACAACTCACTGAAGACTCAGATAGATGATCATTAGCATTTTTTAGCAATAAAGCACTTTTAAATTAAGGTATGTACATTGTTTTTTAAAAGATGCTATTGCATTCTTAATAGACTACAGTATATTGTAAACATAAGTTTTATATGCATTGGGAAACAAAAATTTATATGGCATGCCTTATTGCAGTATTCACTCTATTAGTCTCAAACAGAACCTGCAATATCTTCGATGTAGGCCTGTAATTCCTTTTCTTACTTTAACAAGTAAAAGGTGACTGAATAAGTAAATAAAACATCTATCTTTGTTTTAAAGATTAATTAGTGTTGCTTTTAGTGTTTAACAAATTATAGCTAGTCCATCCTTCTCTGAACTGACATAGCTCTTGGATAGTGAGTGATTTTTTTAATGCTATACGAATTATCTGTTTATTTGTTCATGTCAAGTAGAAGAGTATATAAGTCACTTACATCAAAAATCCTGCCTTAAACCACTTCTAGTCTATACCTCATATGTAGAAAGCACTTCAGAAACATTTTTTTACATATTCTACAAATAACAAGTTGCTTTTAATTTCCATTTCTTTAATTACTTGAAAAATACTTCTTCAGTCTCTTCAAGACTTTTAGACAAGTTATGCAACACAAGTATTAAGCGGAAATAAATATATGGGAAAATAAGTTCCTGAGGTAAAAGAAACAGAAATAAAAGAACAAAGGCATAAAGGCTATAAAATTTATATATATCATAAAGAAAGGCAAAGTAATTTTAGCTGTGTCAGAAATATCCAATAAATAACAGTCCAGCAGGCCGATAGGCAATAAACAAGGCAATCAGAGAACTCTGATAATTAAGAAGCAATGTTTCATCCGCTACTACCATCTAGCTATTCAAAATCTGTGTTTCTTTACCAGGTTAGTAACAAAAGATTCATATATGGAATTATTTTGTAAGTACAAAAACTTCCTTCCTAAGATTAATAAGATTCCAGTGAAAACAATACTAACAAGTTGTCACCATAATTACATCAGAAAAATAAACAACTCTCATCACTAAATCCTTTCTTTACAGGTTTAAAGGTTTCTATTTTATACTTAATATTTATCCTTACAAATTGAGAACACCTCTCTCCCATTTTCTCTTTTAAGTAGTTCATTCAATAAACACTTATAGAACCAGTATAATATGCAAAGCAGTATGGTAAGCATCAGGGATACCAAGATGGATCTATGTTTCTCAACTGTCATAGAAATATTCATGTTCTTCAGATAAGTATCATTTGTGCATCCTTTGAAGAAGATATCAAAAGGGATCTCTTAACATTCTATATTATGATATTATTTGGGCTCTGAACTGAATTCAAAAGAAAAAGCTCAGGTGCACCTCAATCCTTCCCACAGCAGATCTCAACAGAACTTCTTCCTATACCATGACTTATTCCCCACTTAACCAAATGCTTATTTCCCACTTAACTAAATGAAGTATTCTGCCTAGTCCACATCAATGTAGTCATAGCAAGTACCCCTAACTTTACCTTTAAGCATTTCCTGCTGTTCATTTGCCTTCTTGTCTAACACTTAAATTTTAATGTGGGACTATTTAAAGCATCTGTACTCTTCAAAGCCCTGGTAAGAATGCTAAGTGTATAGTAGCTTCTCACTGAATACTGCACAGATGAGACAAATACATAAATCCCAGGATACACAGTTGAGAGGTCAAATCACATGTCTACTATAATGTTTTACAACAGTATTAATATATTGGAATATTTGACACTTTGATGATTTTTTAATGTTAATTCATATATCCTCCGGTAAAATTTTAACTAATACAGCAAGTTACTTAAGTTCTTAAGTCTCATATTTCAGAATTTGCTACAGCCCCTCCTTTCTATGTAAATGAGTAGCTTCCTTTTCATCTTTACTCCCTGGATGTTTATGACCAAATGTGAAGCCCAAGCACAACATCCATGCTGACATTCAAGAGTTATGAGTTGTCCATTAGTTCTAATTTTCTATTTCTTTTACTATCAGGTTGGTGCAAACATAATTGCAGTTTTTGTATTGTTGGAATTTGCCATTTGATATTGGAATACATATTTCGGTCAATGGATTTTATTATAAGCTGCCTTGATGTTTTAGGGAAACAAATAGGTTATAAATAAACTTACCTACTATGGAAAAGTTATATACCAAGTTTATATTTAAAAATTCACATTTTCTTTTATCCATCAAAATACACTTCGATTCAAATTTATTCCCCTCCATTTTTTCCTTCTCCCCTAAGTTTCTGTTAGACAACTATCAAATTTACTGTAAAGACCAAATTTTCTACCTTCACATAGTTTGAGCTTCACCGCTATTTTCTTTCACTTCTTTCAAATTACTGCTTTTGAGTGGATCAATATCATAGTTGCAAGGCTGAAGTGGTCTCTTTTGCCATGCTCCAGATACCTATTTTTAGTTAACAGGTAGCTACTCCCCAGAAACTTTCAACAATGATAGAAGCCACAAAAAACTAACTTACAAGTATTGAGGTTCTTTTATTAAGCTTATGAAGTGTTAGTACATTTCGAAGAAAGGAGAAGATAAGACTATGGTTCTTATACTCTATATCACTCTATCCATTTCCCAGTAAGGTAATGAAATTATTTAATACAAACTAAAACTACTTTATCTTTCTTCATGGCATACAGATTTTATATAGCCTTATGCCTTTGTTTTTCCATTTCTGTTTCTTTTATTACAGGAACTTGTTTTCCCATATATTTATTTCCTCTTAATATTTCTGTTGCATAACTCTTCTGAGTGACTTGTCTAAAACTTTTCAAGAAAATTAAAAAATTCTTTCCCAAGTAACTAAAGAAATGAAAATTAATGCAATAAGTTGCTACTTTTACCCATCATGTTAGCCAAGATATTTAACTGTAAAATCCTGAATAATTGAAGAGTTGAACCAGCTCTTCTCGTATATCATTTGGAGAAGTACAAACTGAAGTAGTATAGATAAAAGCCGTTCCATAAATGTATCAAGAGCTTCAAGACATTTAGACCCTCTGACCCAATAATTTAATTTATAAATCTACCTAAAGAAACAAATCATAAATAAAAACAGAGGCTTACATAGGAAGTGCTCATCACAGCATTATATGTGATTGTAGAAAATTACTAACAGGGTAAAAGTCTAATATCAATAATTAGATAAATAAAACAAATATACTTATATTATAGACAAATATTCTAAATCCATGTGATAGATTACACAGTCGTAAGCATGCTGTTAATAAAAATTAAAATATTGAGAAAATGCTTGTGAATGTTAAGAAAATGAGTTCCAAATGTTAAATTCCATATTATCTCAACAATAAAATCTACATAATGATTTTGTCTTCATGCAGTCTTGTACTCTCCAAATTTTCTACAAAAAGGCTTAGTGTTTTAAAATTAGCATACTTATATATTTGTTAAAACCACAGAGCTTTTTCCCTATGTTCTCAAAAAATCTTAATATTAAAAATATTTTAATTATAAAATATTAAACCAGCTTATAAGACAAACCTAGTTAAGATCTATTTTAGACAAAACTTTAAAATAGAGAAAAATGTTGGCAATTTATACAACTCTATATATTACATTATTAAATTGTATTATTTATACTATGCTGCTATATAAATTGCATACTTAAGAAGGAATATACTTCCCAACTCATTAACAAGGTCAGCATTACCTGATACCAAAATCAGATAGCCCTTACATGAAAGGAAAAGTCTAGATCAACATCCCTCATGGGCAGTAAAGCAAAAATTCAGTAATATATAAAAAAAGATAATATACCTTGACATAGTAGGTTTATCCCAGGAATGCAAAATTGACTTAATATTGTTTTAATCAATGTAATCAAGTACACATTCACAGATTTTAAAAAATTTAAACAATATTGTCAACCCAGTAGATGAATAAATGGTCAAGGCCTCACTCTGTGGCCCAGGCTGCAGTGCAGTGGTGCAATCACAGCTCACTGCAACCTCGACGTCTCCAGGCTCAGGTGATCCTCCCAAGTAGCTGTGCCTACTGGCCTGCACCACCACATTCATTAATCATACTTTTTATAGAGACAAGGTTTCACCATGTTGCCCAGACTAGTCTCAAACTCCTGGGCTCAAGCAATCCACCTACCTCAGCCTCCCAAAGTGCAAGGATTATAGGCATAAGCTACTAGGCCTAGGCAAGACTGGGTAATTTATAAGAAAAGAGGTTTAATTGGATTACAGTTCTGCAGGCTATACAAGAAGCATAGCGACATCTGCATCTAGGGAGGCCTCAGGGAGCTTTTACCGATGGAGGAAGGTCAAGCAGGAGCAGGTACTTCACATGGTGAGAGCAGGAGCAAGAGAGAGAGAGTTGGGGGGATAGGTGCCACACACTTTTAAATGACCAGATCTCAGGAGAACTCATTACCATGAAGACATCACCAACCATGAGAGATCTGCCCGCATGATCCAAACACCTCCCACCAGACCCCATCTCCAGCTTTGGGGATTATATTTCAACATGAGATTTGGACAGGGACAAATATCCAAGATATATCACATTGATAACCAAAAAAAAAAAGCAAACGAGAAACAGAAAGAAGCTTCCTTAACCTGATAAAAGGCCATCTATGAAAAACCAATAGGTAATATCACACTTAATAGTGACAGACCAAATGTATCTATCCTTAAGTTCAGGAACAAGACAAGAATGCACACTCTCATCACTTCTATTAAACACCGTAGCAGAGGTCCTAGCCAGGGTAATTGGCAAGAAAAATAAATAAAAGGCATACAGTTGGAAAGAAAAAAAATAAAACTATATTCACAGACAACATAGACATCTATGTAGAATATACCAAATAATCTACCAAGAGGCTACTAAAATTAATAAGTTTAGCATAGTTACAAGACCTAGAAGAGCCAAAACAATTTTTGGAAAAAGATCAAAATTGAAACACTGACTCTACCTAATTTCAAAACTTATTATAAAACTACAATAATCAAGACAGAGTGATACTATTACAAGGACAGACATTTATATCAATGGAACAGAAAAAAGTACAGAAACATACCCATGATCAAATTATTCTTTACAAGGTGAAAAATGGGGAATCCAATGAAAAAGAAAAGTCTTTTCTTTTCTTTCTTTCTTTCTTTTTTTCTTTTTTGAGATGGAGTTTCACTCTGTCACCCAGGCTGGAGTGCTGAAGTGCAGTGGTGCAATCTCAGCTCACTGCAACCTCTGCCTCCCAGATTCAAGCAATTCTCCTGCCTCAGCCTCCTGAGTAGCTGGGATTACAGGTACCCACCACCACAGCCAGTTAATTTTTTTGTATTTTTTAGTATTTTAGACAGGGTTTCACCATGTTGACCAGGCTGGTCTCAAACTACTGACCTCATGTGATCTGCCCACCTGGGGCTCCCAAAGTGCTGGGATTACAGGCGTGAGCCACAGGCCCGGCCCAGTCTTTTCTACTAATAGTGCCAAAACCAACAAGGAAACCAACAAGGAAAAAAAAATCAACATGTCTAAAACCTAACCAAAACATGGGTCATAGAGTTAAATGCAAGAGCTAAAACTATAAAATTTCAAAAAGATAATACAGGAAAAATTCTTCATGCTCTTGGGTCAGTTGAATACTTCTTAATAAAAGTAAGCCATAAAAGAAAGAAACTGATAAAATAGACTGAATCAAATTGTAAAACTTTTGCTATTCAAAAGACATTGTTAAGACAAAAGGCAAACCACAGACTAGGACAAAATATTTGCAACACACACACATATTCAAGATATGGAAATTAAAAGCACAATGAGATATCATCATACATCCACTAGAATGATTAAAATTTAAAACTGACAATATCAACTTTTGGCAAGGTGGTAGAATAACTGGAACACATACACTACTGGAGATGAACATATCTATCCACTTTGGAAATAGTTTGGCAATTTCTCATAAAGTTAAACATACTTTAAACATATTTATTGGTCAGCCCAGCAATCCTCCTTAAAAGTATTTATCCAGGCCAGGAGCAGTGGCTCACACCTGTAATCCCAGCACTTTGGGAGGCCAAGGAGGGCGATCACAAGGTCAGGAGATCGAGACCATCCTGGCTAACACGGTGAAACCCTGTCTCTACTAAAAATACAAAAAAATTAGCCGGTGTGGTGGTGGGCACCTGTAGTCCCAGCTACTTGGGAGGCCGAGGCAGAAGAATGGCGTGAACCCGAGAGGCGGAGCTTGCAGTGAGCCAAGATCGTGCTAGTGCACTCCAGCCTGGGCGACAGAGCGAGACTCTGTCTCGAAAAAAAAAAAAAAAGTATTTATCCAAATATTCACAGCAGTTTTATTCATAATAGCCAAGAACTGGAAACAATCTAAATGTCCATCAAGTGGACATTTGAATTGGGGACTAGATAAACAAATTGTGGTATATTCATACAATGGAATACTACCTAACAATTAAAAAGAATGGAAAAAAATGTTTTAAATTAAAAAAATAAAAGAATAGAAGAATGAATTACCAATACATGAAACAATATAGATGAGGCTGAGATGGGAGGAGTTTGAGACCAGTCTGGGAAACACAGCAAGACCCTGTCTCTACAAAAAATTTTACAAATTAGCCAGGTGTACTGGTATGCACCTATAATCCTAGCTACTTGGGAGGTTGAGGCAGGAAGGTCCCATGAGCCAGGAGATCAAGGTTGCAATGAGCTATGATTTCACCACAGCATTCCAGTTTGGGTGACAGAGTAAGACCCTACCTCTAAAAACAACAACAACATAGATGAATGTTGAAAGCACAATGCAGATCAACAAAAGCCAAATGCAGAAGAATACATAGTGTATGATTCAATTTACACGGAATTCTAAAACAAACAAAATTATCATGACAGAAACAGATGAGTGTTTGCCCAGGGCCAGGGGTGGAGGGAGGAAATTAAATGCTAAAGGCTATTTATTGTACAAAAGCACAATAAAATCTTCTGATTTGTCAATTTACTCCCCCCGCAAATCTACTTTCTCATAGCATTTATTATGTGGGTGGCTATGTGAATGACATGCCTGGTCAAACCAATCACCTGAGCCATATGCAAATCAGACACTGTCTCCTCCAGCCTCTTCATATACCTGGCAGGTTTCCACCACACTGGGGGTCTCTTCTCTCAGCTTTGGAGCCCCCTCTCCCTCTGGCTCTGTAAAGGGGCGCTTCTTCCTTCTTTCTTCTCCCTTCTGTCTTGCCTATTAAACTCTCCGCTCCTTAAAACCACTCCACATGCACCCATGTCATCTTATCTAATTGGGCATGAGACAAGAGCCCTGGTGTTCTTCCACTCATCGAAGCCATATCACAATGATTGGCACATTTATGCTCACCAACACGTATCCAAAGTGGGGGAAAAAAAGGAATATTTGTGCCTGCTTCCCACAAAGGGGGTGAGTAACATCATTAAAGATCACGAGCATAAAAATTACAGATACAGGTACACTGGCTTAGAATTCTGTGACCTTGGATAAGTTACCCAACCTTCCCAAGTTTCCCTCTCTGCAAAATTCATGCAAATAACCATCTCATAACATTGCCAACAGGGTTAAATTGAGAACACATATAACACATCTAATTGTGTCTTGTACACAGTATGTGCTTATTAAAAAATTAGAAACCTGCCTTCACCACCACTACCACCACCATCATCACCCAGCAAGCCAGTTCTTTAACTAATCAGTTCAGAGGCTCTTGACCTCAAAAGAACGATTTAATGCCACATGAAATTGAAGGAGAAAATACACAGTTTCAAATTCTCTTTTTCTCCCTGCTCTTCACCCCATGTGGGTGTGCCACTGTGTACCGCCTCAGGCCTAACCCTCAATATGCAAATGATATGTATTTGAAGGATAAATAAATTCCTTAGGCAAAGTGCTAAAAAATAACAGTGGAGGCTGCTCAGCCTATAAAGTAGCCATTCTTTATTCCTTTACTTTCCTAATAAACTTTCTTTCACAAAAAAAAAAAAAAAAAAAAAAAAACCCACACTGGAAACATAAAACAATGAAGCCATTTAAGTGAAAAAAAAATCTGTGACTTTCAGTATGTCATTTTTTCAGCCATCTACAAGAAGTACAGATTATTTCCTTCTTAATATTTTGAACAAAATTCAAACATAGTCCAAAGGATTAATGAAAATATACTTACAAAACTTTAAGCTACTTAGAAGAAAAGATTATAAATGCAAATTGTTATTCTCTTTCTTTGAGATTATAGTTGCCCCGCCAAAATCCAAAGAGGTATATTCATTTTTCCTCAAAGATTGAACATTATTTCATTTCCTTTCCATTATTTTAGGCTTTAATAGTCAATGTTATAACTGTGGAGTTTTTGATGACACAGTTAAAGAAGATAACATTCGGGTTACCAATCTTGTTTACCATTCTTTTGTTTCAAATTTATAAGCAAGTAATCTGTCTTCTATATCTTTTTCCAGGTTCAGTTATCTGTTTTCTAGATCATTACCTTATTCACACCTCAATTTAGTAAACTCAATGACACTGTTCACCTGGCTGTTTTGCAACTCAACAAATATAATCTTATACATGAACAAAATCATAGTGCCACAAGGGACAACCGCAACCAGAGCATAAGTACTTTCCATGATATTTCTAAAGTCTCCTAACTGTATGTTAGGTTTCTCTTTTAAAATGTAGGCATGAAAAATATAAAATTATTAAAAATAAGATTTTATACAAAACAGCAAGAGTCTCATAAAACATTTCCTTCTACTCTTAGTACCCCTTTAAAATTTTAAGGGAAACCAAGCCTGTTATTCTCAATTCTCTCATTCCTTGGTTATTTCCAATCAACTAGTCTCAGACGATTTTCATTTTTTGTTTTTATTTTTTATTTGAACTTACACATTACTCTCCTAGAACTTGTTGGGTAACATTTTCTGCACCACTCCAATTTTAGTATATATACTGCCTACTTAAGTTCACAGGGTTCTCTCCATCACTCGGATAAAGATGGAAAAGCCTTATTAAGATTTTCATTTCTGAGACACAAGACTCTCAATACATGTAAATCAGAAGATGGATTCTGTACTCCTTGACAAATTCCTAAATGTATATGTGCAATTAAACAGACAAGCAGTGAAAATTGAAGGTACAGAATTAGAAACCATGGACGGTACTCATCTGTCTGAATGGAGCAGGCAGGAAGATAGATGTCAAGCTTCATTATCAGCAAGTGTATGGACAAGGAAGAAATGAGAGAACTTAAAAAAATTAACAAGGAAAAAAAAAGCAGTGGTCTTACTCCCCACTCCCTACTCCCTAAAAAAGACAAGGTCAAGGGAATGCTTACATCTAAGAGAGAGCCTTGCAAAATCCAGCTCAGACCTGACATCTCTGAAGCTCTCTCTGCAATCCCCAGACAAGTCCATCACTCTATTTTCTGTGCTGCCTCTTTACCTGGTACAGACTTCTCTTTTCATTGACCACACAGATGATGACTGTTTATATGTCTCCCTGCTTACTCTGAACTGATTTTAGTTGAAGAATTGGTGATGATGATGATGGTGGTACTGGTGATGAAGGCAGGTTTCTAATTTTTTAATAAGCATATACTGTGTACCAGACACAATTAAATTTCTCATATATGTTCTCAATTTAATCTGTTGGCTGCCACCTCTCACACATACTAGGCACCCTGAAAGCTTAAACATACCTATGTCTCCCATGTTTTTGCCTGGCACATAGTGGGTACTCAGGAAAAGTTACTTAAAGGTTATACTACTATGACAAAAATAAATGGCAATCAGTTATAAAAGAAAGTTAAACCACACACTTCTTTTTAACATTTATTCTTGCTCTGGCACATAATTATTAAGCATCACAGGTAAAAATCCAGAGCTGGGTAATTTAATATAGGATGTGGCCAATCCTATTACTATGAGAAAGTTAGTTTAATTAATACAGTATTTTACTTTGGTTTAAATTCCTATGTGTCATGTGTATGTGTTTGCATATGTTTCTCTCTTGTTCTTGCTCTTTCTCTCATTAATGATGAATCAGAAAATTTTGAGAAAACTGAAACTCAAAGGCATATACATAATCATTACTTTACAATGTCCAGTCACTGTTAAAAATTACACTCTCAGCACTTTATCAACCCTGTAACATTTACATATGCCCAGCTCCCCTGTGCAAAATTTCTAAATTGGAAAACTAACAGGTGATGCATATTTCTTTGTAGTGACCAAAGAAATTTTTGCTGTATGAGAGTAGACGTGTCAAAGAACTGAATTTACAAGTACCCCTCCCCCCAAAAAAAAAAAACTATTTCAGTATTCAGCTGTTTCCTAGCAACTGAATCTGCTGATACTTTCTCATCACAAGTAGGCATAGGGATAAAATCTGTGTTTCAGTGCATTCAGGTGTCAATGAAAGCAACACAGCTCAGTGAAAAAAAAAAGGATAAATAATGTATAAAAATATTAAGTATTTTCTAGCCAATCTAGGCTGAAGCTTTTAAAATGGGTAATTATAATTCTTAAGTATGATAAATGATCTGGAAAATTAGAGTTTATTATAAAAAGTATAGGGGGTCTGATCTTTTCCATGAATGAGGAAAGAGAAAAAAATCCACAAAGGTGACCACAAAAATAGCAACCCAAGGATTACTCTGGAGAGTTCAACCATGAAGAAGGAAGCTGCTCCTTGCAAGGTAGCTAGACTTTAAACCTGGTTTATGCTGCATCATAAATTTTGAAGCAAAATATAAAATTCACATCTTACATACTGCAGAGAAAAACTGTCCAATGAATAACAGCTTGAACTACTGCAGCCAACTGCAACAGTTCTTCAGGAGTTTTCTGAGTGCATAAACATTTGCAATTGGGATTTCAGAAATATTCTGCATGTACAGCACTTCACACATATTATCAGGTATACAGTTTAATCTTTGCTTTTATAAACAGTACACTGAGGTGCAACCCCAAGTTACTTTAGTTTTCTCAACAAATCAAGAGTATGCAAACATGCAGCTCTCACAAGGTAATTCATCAGATCCTGAGCATCTACTCCATAAGGCATTGTGCTGGGTATCAGAGATCACTAAGTTGAATATAACACAATCTGTACCCTGGAGCTGCTGAAGTATTTAAAATATGCAATGGAAACACCTGCTTGAGGGTAAATCAGAGAAAGCAGGAGAGGCAACAAACTATAGTAGAACAGGCAATGAACTTGAGTTTCGAGAGACATATAGCAAAAGACCCAGGTCTTTCACTAATGAGCAACGTGAGTTCTTGCAGGCCGCTCAACCTTTCTGAGGCTAGACGTTCATGGGCAAAATGAAGAGGCCTGCTTGGTAAGTTTTATAGACAGCCTCTTAGAAAACACTTTGCTAAGTACTACCATGAATAATAGAACAAGCAAATATATCCATTGGCCTTTGGGAGGTAATAAGGTCATGAGAGTTTGCTGCTTCTTTCTCTGCTCTCAACCATTTGAAGATACAATGAGAAGACAGCCATCTGCAAACCAGGAAGCAGGCCCCCACCAGCCTCCAAAATGATGACAAAAGTCTGTTGTTGATGTTGCCCAGTCTATGATAATTTGTTACAGCAGCCCAAACTAAGACAATATCTATAAGCCTACAGTTTTTTATAGTCTACTTGCCAAGGAAGAGGGCAAGATAGCACACAAATAATCACTACAAAAACTCTAAAATGCTTTCCTCCTCTAAAAATTATTTCTATATGATAAAATTTACTGGCAACTAGAAAACAAAGAAAACTTGAAATGAGAGAATCCTTAAAATTCTTGCCAATATTTTCCATAATTATGAAACACAGAACTGTGAAAAGCACTATAGAGAGAAATAAAAGGAAAATCCAAAACTTCTTAAAATATTCTTCACATGGGCCAGGCTCGGTGGCTTACATCTTTAATCTCAGCATTTTGGGAGGCCGTGGCAGATGCACCATGAGGTCAGGAGATTGAGACCATCCTGGCTAACATGGTGAAACCCCGTCTCTACTAAAAAATACAAAAAAAAATTAGCCGGGTGTGATGGCAGGCGCCTGTAGTCCCAGCTACTAGGGAGGCTGAGGCAGGAGAATGGTGTGAACCCAGGAGGCAGAGCTTGCAGTGAGCCGAGTTCGCGCCACTGCACTCCAGCCTGGGCAACAGAGCGAGACTGGATCTCCAAAAAAAAAAAAAAAAAAAAAAAAAAAAAAAAAAAAAAAAAAAAATTCTTCACCTGAACTATCCCTTCAAAGAAACACCTAATATACATAGCACTTTGGAATTTTCAAAAAACTTTCATATACAATACTGACTTCTGTAATGAATGAAACCAGTTCTATCAAAAACCTAAAATATTTCACTAAAACGAGAAAATAACTTTTATCCAATACTATTCCGTGAATATTGCCAATAGCTTTGTTTTTCTAAAATAAAATTATGTGTGTATATATAATGTGTAATTTTTCTGTACATACATATACATATGGAGAAAAACATGAAGATGTTTCATATCCCTATTGCTAAAACACATCTCCAACAATAACACCAGTAGCTGACAATGATTCTAAACTGGATATGTGCAAGAGGAACTACTGAGGTGGGGAAAGAAATTACTAATATGTATTTCTATTTTTCTCCTTTTAAAACCCCCATTTTATATTGCCTACATCTGTGGGCAGGGGTAATATTTTAACTGAGGGGACACAATCAAAAGTTTGGAAACCACCAGCACACACACTAAAATTCAAAGTCATAAGCTTGGTAATACTTACTTTGACAATTTGATCTTCTGCTATTCTTATTCATAGACATTAAATCATACCAATCATACCACTAACACCATTCCCCAAACATAGTTATGCTTTCCAGCACCTAACCATTTACATCTACTACTCTCTGTAAGCTGCACATCTCCATTTACCCAAATCATTTAAAGCCAGTATCAACTCTATCTTTTCTCAAACTTCTCTGAACTTAGGTAATACAGCTCTCAGGCTACTCCTCTCTTTCACCTTGTCATTGAGTCCTTTATGGACATGTTAGCTCCCCCCACTACAAAGAGGGTTCTTGAGGACCAGGGTTATGTCTCATCAACTTCCCATTTCCCAGACCTAGGCACCATGCAGTAAACTTGACATATATTAGAGAAATGTGGGGTCTCCAGCCACCAACTACAGGTGCGTTTGGGCAAGCAACAGGTCCATACCTTGCTGGCATAGAGCTCCCAGAGGAAGGAGCAGACTACCATCTTTGCTGTTTCACAGTCTTCACTGTTGATACCTCCAGGTACTGGAAAATCCAAGGTGACTAGGGACTGGAGTGGGCCCCCAGGATACCACAGAAGCCCTATTGAAAAGTGTCCAGCCTGTTACGTAGGTGCACGTTCCCATATTATCTCCTCACTGGGCAGGTCCTCCAGGCCTGGGCCTCCAGCCACCCACTGCCAGATATATCAAACCAGTAGAAGCTCTGCAACTCCCTTGACTGAGCAACCAGGGGCAACTGAAAGCCTCCCTGCCACTGCCTCTGCAGCAGAACTGCCCTTGCTACCCTCAGACTAATGAAGGAGCAAAGACCCTCAATGCCTTATCCATACCTCCAACAAGCTGCAGTTGAGCCAAGGGGAGGAGACCAGTCCATCTCCCATGGGTTCCACCTACCCACCCCCAGTGCTCATCACCAGACAGAGAACCCCTGGCTGGGGCCACAGCACAGGCCCTCCATCCTGGGCTGATTGCACTGGGTGATTGCAGACCTGCACCTCTCTGGAGTGGAGCCCCCATGAGACAAGCAAAAGACCCTTGGCACAAACACTACTAAGGCCCCTTTCTCTGCTGTCTCCAAGATGGGGAAGGAACATAAACACTGAGCACATCCAGAACTGCACTGGGCAGGCCCAGGAGTGCCAAGCTGCAATCTACAGCCAGCACTCAAAGAGGAGAGGACCCCACACATTCAGAGGGAACATGGCTCCAACTGTGAGGAAATATAAGGGAACCACAAAACCAAGCAAGAGTCTACCAGCTGATTAATATGCCTAAATGCCACCTACCGCATCACACCCCAAAGCTTCAACACCAGAAATAGCTTGCTAATATATCCTCCTCTTAAACTAAAGACAAGAAGTCAGCTTCACATCAAGACCCTGCACAAGGGCTTGGCCCTGTGAAAACACAAGAAAAGAAGTCTATTGACTTCTCAATAGACTACTGACTACTCGATCTACACTGAGGTTAAAGTAACAGCCATATACAGAGATGAGAAAGCAAGAACTCCAATAACTCAAATGACCAGAGTGATGCATGTTCTCCAGAAAACCACACCAGCCCTCCAACAAGAGTTCTTAACCAGGCTGAGCTGGCTGAAATGATGGAAATAAAGTTCAAAATATGGACAGGAATAAAGATCATCAAGACTCAAACCCAATCCAAGAAAACTAAGAATCACAACAAAATGATAAAGGAGCTGAAGGAGGAAATAACCAGTATAAAAAAGATCGTAACGCATCTGACAGGGCTGAATAACACAATACAAGAATTTCACAATCCAATCACAAGTATTAACAGCAGAATAAACCAATCTGAAGAAAGAATCTCAGAACTTAAAGACTGGCTCTCTGAAATAAGACAGTCAGACAAAAATAAAGCAAAAAGAATAAAATGGAATGAACAAAACCTCCAAGAAGTATGGGATTATTCACTTTTATCCTTGAAAGCGAAGGGGAAAAAGCAAACAACTTGGAAAACATATTTCAGAATATCATCCATGAAAACTTTCCTAATCTTGTGAGAGAGGCCAACAGTTAAATTCAGGAAATACAGAGAACTCTCGCAAGATTCTACCTAAGAAGATCATCCCCAAGACACATATTCATCAGATTTTCAAAGGTCAAAATGGAAGAAAGTATGTTAAAGGCAGCTAGAGAGAAAGGACATGTCACCTACAAAGGGAACCCCATCAGGCTAACAGCAGACCACTCAGCTGAAACCTTACAATCCAGAAAAGATTAGGGGCCTATATTCAATATTCATTAAAGAAAACTTCAATCAAGAATTTCATATCCAGCCAAACTAAGCTTCCTAAGGGAAGGAGAAATATGATCCTTTTCAGATAAGAAAATGTTGAGGAAGTTAATTACCACCAGACCTGCCTTACAAGAGATCTTGAAAGGAGCATTATATATAGAAAGGAAAGACTGCTACCAGCTAATACAAAAAGACACTTAAATACACGGATCAGTGACAATATAAAGCAACCACACAAACAAGCCAGCAGAATAACCAGCTAACAATACAACGACAGGATCAAATGTACACATACAATACAAATATTTAATGTAAATGGACTACATGTCCCACTTCAAAGGCACAGGTGGCAAGCTGGATAAAAAAGCAAGACCCAATGGTATGCTGTCTTCAAGAGACCCATTTCTTAATGGGTCTCGTAATGACAACCATAGGCTCAAAATAAAGGAACACACATCTGACAAAGGGCTAATATCCAGAATCTACAATGAACTCAAACAAATTTACAAGAAAAAAAATCAAACAACCCCATCAAAAAGTGGGCAAAGGATATGAACAGACACTTCTCAAAAGAAGACATTTGTGCAGCCAACAGACACATGAAAAAATGCTCATCATCACTGGCCATCAGAGAAATGCAAATCAAAACCACAATGAGATACCATCTCACACCAGTTAGAATGGCGATCATTAAAAAGTCAGGAAACAACAGGTGCTGGAGAGGATGTGGAGAAATAAGAACGATTTTACACTGTTGGTGGGACTGTAAACTAGTTCAACCATTGTGAAAGACAGTGTGGCGATTCCTCAAGGATCTAGAACTAGAAATACCATTTGACCCAGCAATCCCATTATATCCAAAGGATTATAAATCATGCTGCTATAAAGACACATGCACACGTGTGTTTTCTGCGGCACTATTCACAATAGCAAAGACTTGCAACCAAGCCAAATGTCCATCAATGATAGACTGGATTAAGAAAATGTGGCACATGTACACCATGGAATACTATGCAGCCATAAAAAAGGAAGAGTTCATGTCCTTCGTAGGGACATGGATGAAGCTAGAAACCATCATTCTGAGCAAACTATTGCAAGGACAGAAAACAAGACACTGCATGTTCTCACTCATAGGTGGGAACTGAACAATGAGAACACTTGGACACAGGGTGGGGAATATCACACACTGGGTCCTGTCGTGGGGTCAGGGGATGGAGGAGGGATAGCACTAGGAGATATACCTAATGTAAATGACGAGTTACTGGGTTCAGCACACCAACATGACACATGTATACATATGTAACAAACCTGCATGTTGTACACATGTACCCTAGAACCTAAAGTATAATAGAATAAATAAATAAATAATAATTAAATAAATAAAAGGATAGAGGAATATCTACCAAGCAAATGGAAATCAGAAAAAAACAGGGGTTGCAATCCCAATTTCAGACAAAACAGAATTCAAACAAAACAAAAGATAAAAAAAAGACAAAGAAGGGCATTTCATAACGGCAAAGACTTCAATTGAATAAAATACCTAACCATCCTAAATATATATGCACTCAACACAGGAGCACCCAGATTCATACAGCAAGTTCTTAGAGACCTACAAAGAGACATAGATTCCCACAAAATAATACTGTGAAACTTCAACATTCCACCAACAGTATTAGACAAATCATTGAGGCAGAAAATTAACAAAGATATTTAGGAACTGAACTCAACACTGGACCAAATGGATCTGATGGACCTCTACAGAACTCTTCATCCAAAACCAATAAAATATACATTCGTCTCATCACCACACAGCAAATGCTCTAAAAGCGACCACATAATTGGACATAAAATATCCTCAGCAAATGCAAAATAACATAAATCATAACAAACACACTCACGGACCACCATGCAATAATAATAGAAGTCAAGACTAAGAAAATCACTCAAAACCATGTGATTACATGAAAATTAACATGCTTCTGAATGACTTTTGGGTAAAAAATGAAATTAAGGCAGAAATTAAGAAGTTCTTTTAAACTAATGAGGGCAAAGATACAACATATTAGAATTTCTGGGATACAGCTAAGGCAGTGTTAAGAGGGAAATTCATAGCACTAAATAGCCACATAAAAAGTTAGAAAGATTGGCCAGGCGTGGTGGCTCATGTCTGTAATCCCACCATTCTGGGAGGCGGAGGCAAGCAGATCACGAGGTCAAGAGATCGAGACCATCCTGGCCAACATGGTGAAACCCCACCTCTACTAAAAATACAAAAATTACGTCGGTGTGGTGGTGTGTACCTGTAGTCCCAGCAACTCAGAAGGCTGAGGTAGGAGAATCGCTTGAACCCGGGAGGCAGAGGCTGCAGTGAGCCGAGATCATGCCACTGCACTCCAGCCTGTAAACAGAGCAAGACTCCGTCTCAAAGAAAGAAAGAAAGAAAGAAAGATCTCACAGCCTGGCAACAGAGTAAGACTCCGTCTCAAAAAAAAAAAAAAAAAAAAAAAAAAAAAAAAAAAAAAGATCTCAAATTAGCAACTTAATATCACAACTGAAAGAATTAGAGAAGCCTAAACAAATCAGCCTCTAAGCAAGCAAAAGACAAGAAATCACCAAAATCAGAGTTGAATTGAAGGAATTCAAGACATGAAAAACCATTCAAAAGATCAACAAACCCAGGAGTTGATTTTTTTGCAAACTAGTTCACCAGCAATGTATCCAAAACAAGAAGAAATCCCTGATTCACCTGAAAAAGAATTCAGGTTAGTTATTAAGCTAATCAGGGAGGGGCCAAGAAAGGTGAAGCCCAATGCAAGGAAATCCAAAAAATGATACAAGAAGTGAAGGGGGGAATATTCAAGGAAATAGATAGCTTAAAGAAAAAACAATCAAAAATTCAGGAAACTGTGGACACACTTTTAGAAATGTGAAATGCTCTGGAAAGTCTCAGCAATAGAACTGAACAAGTAGAAGAAAGAAAAGCAGAGCTTGAAGACAAGGTCTTCGAATTAACCCAATCCAGCAAAGACAAAGCAAAAAGAATATGAAAATATGAACAAAGCCTCCAAGAAGTCTGGGATTATGTTAAACAAGCAAACCTAAGAATAATCGGTGTTCCTGAGAAAGAAGACAATTCTAAAAGCTTGGGAAACATATTTGGGGAAATAATAAAGGAAAACTTTCCCGGCAATGCTGGAGACCTAGACATCCAAATACAAGAAGCACAAAGAATACCCAGGAAATTCATCACAAAAAGATCTTCATCTAGGCACATTTTCATCAGGTTATCCAAAGTTAGGATGAAGGAAAGAATCCTAAGACCTGTGAGACAGAAGCACCAGGTAACCTATAAAAGAAAACCTAACAGATTAACAGCAGATTTCTCAACAGAAACCATACAGCCTAGAAGGGATTGGGACCCTGTCTTCCACCTCCTCAAACAAAACCATTATCAGCCAAGAATTTTATATCCAGAAAAACTAAGCATCATATATGTAGGAAAGATATAATCTTTTTCAGACAAACAAATGCTGAGAGAATTCGCCATTACCAAGCCACCACTACAACAACTGCTAAAAGGAGCTCTAAATCTTGAAATAAATCCTGGAAACACATCAAAACAGAACCATTTTAAAGCATAAATCTCGCAAGACCTACAAAACAAAAATACAATTTAAAAAACAAAAACAAAAAGCCAAGATATACAAGCAACAAATAGCACAATGAATGGAATGGTACCTCACATCTCAATACTAACATTGAATGTAAATGGCCTAAATGCTCCACTCAAAAGATACAGAATTGCAGAATGGATAAGAATTCACCAACCAATTATCTGCTGCCTTCAAGAGACTCACCTAACACATAAGGACTCATGTAAACTTAAAGTAAGGGGTGGAATAAGGCATTTCATGCAAATGGACACCAAAAGTGAGCAGGGGTAGCTATTCCTGTATCAAACAAATCAAACTTTAAAGCAACAGCAGTTAAAAGACAGAAAGAGGGACATTATATAATGGTAAAAGGCCTTGTCCAACAGAAAAATATCACAATCCTAAACATATATCCATCTAATACTCAAGCTCCCAAATTTATAAAACAATTACTAATAGACATAAGAAGTGAGATAGACAGCAAGACAAAACAGTGGGAGACTTCAATACTCCACTGACAGCACTAGACAGGTCATCAAGACAGAAAGTCAACAAAGAAACAATGGATTTAAACTATACCTTGGAACAATTGGACTTAACAGATATTTACAGAACATTTCATCCAACAACCTCAGAATACACATTCTATTCAATAGCACATAGAACCTTCTCCAAGATAGACTATATGACAGGCCATGAAACTAGCCTCAATAAATTTAAGAAAATTGAAATCATATCAAGCACTTTCTCAGACCACAATGGAATATAACTGGAAATCAACTCCAAAAGGAACCTTCAAAATCATGCAAATATATAGAAATTAAATAACCTGCTCCTGAATGAGCATTGGGTCAAAAACAAAATCAAGATAGAAATTATTTGAACTGAATAACAATAATGATACAACCTATCAAAACCTCTGGGATACAGCAAAGGCAGTGCTAAGAGGAAAGTTCATAGCCCTAAATGCCTACATCAAAAAGACTGTAAGAGCACAAATTGACATTCTAAGGTCACACCTCAAGGACTAGAGAAAGAAAAACAAACCAAACCCAAACCCAGCAGAAGAAAGGAAATAACCAAGATCAGAGCAGAACTAAATGAAACTGAAACAAGAAAAACAATACAAAAGATAAATGAAACAAAAAGCTGGTCCTTTCAAAAGATAAATACAATTAATAGACCATTAGCAAGATTAACCAAGAAAAGAAGGGAGAAAATCCAAATAACATAGCTAAGAAAGAAAACAGGAGATACTACAACTGACACCACTGAAATACAAAAGATCATTCTAGTCTACTATGAACACCTTTATGCACATAAACTAGAAAACCTAGAAGAGATGGATGAATTCCTGGAAAAATACAACCCTCCCAGCTTAAATCAGGAAGAATTAGGTACCCTGAACAGACCAATAACAAGGAGCAAGATTGAAATGGTAATTTAAAAATTACCAACAACAAAAAGTCCAGGACCAGATGGATTCACAGCAGAATTCTACCAGACATTCAAAGAAGAATTGGTACCAATCCTTTTAAAACTATTCTACAGGATAGAGAAAGAAGGAACCCTCCCTAATTCATTATATGAAACCAGCATTGCCCTAATACCAAAACCAGGAAACAACGTAACCAAAAAAGAAAACTACAGACTGATATCCTTGATGAACATAGCTGCTAAAATCCTTAACAAAATACTAGCTAACCGAATACAACAACATATCAAAAAGATAATCACCATAATCAAGTGGGTATCACACCACAGATGCAGGTATGGTTTAACATATGCAAGTCAATAAATGTGATACACCACATACACAGAATTAAAAACAAAAAATCACATGATCATCTCAATAGATGCAGAAAAGGCATTCCACAAAATTCAGCATCTCTTTATGATTAACACTCTCCACAAAATCAGCATACAAGGGACATACCTTAATGTTATAAAAGCCATCTATGACAAACCCACAGCCAACATAATACTGAATGGGGTAAAGTTGAAAGCATTCCCTCTGAGAACGGGAACAAGACAAGGATGCCCACTCTCACCACTCCTCTTCAACATAGTATTGGAAGTCCTAGCCAGAGCAATCAGACAAGAGAAAGAAAGGGCATCCAAATCGGTAAAGAGGAAGTCAAACTGTCACTGTTTGCTGGAGCTATGATTGTTTACCTTGGAAACCCTAAGGACTCCTCCAGAAAGCTCCTAGAACTGATAAAAGAATTGAGCAAAGTTTCCGGATACAAGAGTAATGTACACAAATCAGTAGCTCTGCTATACACCAACAGCAACCAAGCAGAGATTCAAATGAAGAACTCAATCCCTTTTACAATACCTGCAAAAAAATAAAATAAAATACTTAGGAATATACCTAACCAAGGAGTCAAAAGACCTCTACAAGGAAAACCGCAAAAAACTGTTGAAAGAAATCATAGATAATACAAACAAATGGAAACACATCCCATGCTCATGCAGGAGTAAAATCAATATTGTGAAAATGACCATACTGCCAAAAGCAATCTACAAATTCAATGCAATCCCATCAAAATACCATCATCATTCTTCACAGAACTAGAAAAAAACAATTCTAAAATTCATATGGAACCAAAAAAGAGCCCGCATAGCCAAAGCAAGGCTAAGCAAAAAGAACAAATCTGGAGGCATCACATTACCTGATTTCAAATTATACTATAGGCCATAGTCACCAAAACAGCATGGTACTGGTATAAAAACAGGCACACAGACCAATGGAACAGAATAGAGAATCCAGAAATAAACCCAAATGCTTACAGCCAGCTGATCTTCAACAAAGCAAACAAAAACATAAAGTGGGGAAAAGACACCCTTTTCAACAAATGGTGCAGGGATAATTGGCTAGCCACATGTAAGAGAATGAAACTGGACCCTCATCTCTCGCCTTATGCAAAAATCAACTGATGATGGATTAAGGACTTAAACCTAAGACCTGAAACTATAAAAATTCTAGAAGATAACATTGGGAAAACCCTTTTAGACACTGGCTTAGGCAAGGATTTCATGACCAAGAACCGAAACGCAAATGCAATAACAACAAAGATAAATAGCTGGGACCTACTTAAACTAAAGAGCTTTCACATGGCAAAAGGAACAGTCAGTAGAGTAAACAGACAACCCACAGAGTGGGAGAAAATCTTCACAATCTATACATCTGACAAGGGACTTGTATCCAGAATCTACAACAAACTCAAACAAATCAGTAAGGAAAAAAAAAAACAAACAATTCCATCAAAAAGTGGGCTAAGGATATGAATAGACAATTCTCAGAAGAAGATATACAAATGGCCAGCAAACATATGAAAAAATGCTCAACATCACTAATGATCAGGGAAATGCAAATTAAAACCACATTGCAATACCACCTTACTCCTGCAAGAATGGCCATAATCAAAATCAAAAAACAGTAGATGTTGGCATGGATGTGATGAACAGGGAACACTTCTACACTACTGATGGGAGTGTAAACTAGTACAGCCACTATGGAAAACAGTGTGGAGGTTCCTTAAAGAACTAAAAGAATCAAGAACTGCCACTTGATCCAGCAACACCACTACTGGGTATCTACCAGAGGAAAAGAAGTCATTATTCGAAAAAGGTATTTGCACATGCATGTTTATAGCAGCACAACTGACAATTGCAAAATCATGGAACCAATCCAAATGCCCATCAATCTATGAGTGGGTAAAGAAACTGTGGTGTGTGTGTGTATGTATATATATATATAAAGTAAGGAATACTATGAAACCATAAAAAGCAATAAGTAACAGCATTTGCAGTGACCTGAATGAGACACTATTATTCTAAGTGAAGTAACTCAGGAATGGAAAACCAAACATCATAAGTTCTCACTGATATGTGGGAGCTATGCTATGAGGATGTAAGGCATAAGAATGTACAATGGACAAAAAATAAGACTACAAATAATGGTGTAGCGTATACTGCTCGGGTGATGGGTACACCAAAAATCTCACAAATCAACACTAAAGAACTTACTCATGTAACCAAATACCACCCGTACGTACCCCAATAACTTATGGAAAAATTAAAAATAATAAAAATAAATAAAAATTTGGATATCCACTAAAAAAAATGAATATTTTCCTTTTCCCTCTCTAGGCTATTAGTGGCCCTTCTATTCCATGAAAACTATGACTGTCTTTATCAGTTCTATGTTCCTTTTTATTTGAGAACTAATTTTTCACTAGTTTTGGATTTAGGAAAGAATTTTGATATTTGATGAATTTTTGGCTATTGCAAAACTTTTTAGAATCAGATAGATTAATAAACTATAAATATAATGTAAATGCTAAGAATAAGGGAGAATAAAGTTACTATTCAGCTATTATTAATTTAAAAAAAAGAAATGAAGGGCAGGCATCCAAATAGGAAGACAGGAAATCAAACTATCCCTGTTGGCAGATGATGTAATTTTATATCTAGAAAATTCCACAGTCTCAGTCCAAAAGCTCCTTCAGCTGATAAACACCTTCAGCAGTTTCAGGATACAAAATCAATGAACGAAAATCGCTAGCATTCCTATACACCAACAAAAGCCAAGCTGAGAGCCAAATCAACAAGGCAATCCCATTCACAATTGCCACAGAAAGAATAAAATACCTAGGAATACAGCTAACCAGGGAGGTGAAAGATTGCTATAATAAGAATTACAAAATACTGCTCAAAGAAATCAGAGATACACAAATAAATGGAAAAAAACATCCCATGCTCATGGACAGGAAAAGTCAATATCATTAAAATGGTCATACTGCCCAAAGCCATTTATATAATTCAGTCCTATTCCTATCAAACTATCAATGACATTCTTCACAGAACTACAAAAATAAATAAATAAAAACTATTTTAAAGTTCATATGAAACTAAAAAAGAGCCCGAATAGCCAAGGCAATCCTAAGCAGAAAGAACAAAGCTTGAGGCATCACACTACCAATTTCAAACTACAGCACAGGATACAGTAACCAAAACAGCATGGTACAGGTACAAAAACAAGCACATAGACCAATGGAACAGAATAGAGAGCCCAGCAATAAGCCCACACACCTACAAAACAAGCAATGGGGAAAAGACTCCCTATTCAATAAATGGTGCTGGATAACTGGCTAGCAATATGCAGAAGATTGATGCTGGACTTTTCCTTATACCATATATAAAAATCAACTCAAAATGGATTAAAGGCTTAAATGTAAAATCCAAAGCAATGAAAACCCTGGAAGACAACTTAGGCAATACCATCTGGACATAGGAATGGGCAAAAATTTCATGACAAAGACACCAAAAGCAAAAATTGGCAAATGGGATCTAATTAAACTTAACAGCTTCTGCACAGCAAAAGAAATTATCAACAGAGTACACAGACAACCCACAGAATGGAAGAAAATACTTGCAAACTATGCATCTGACAAAGGTCTAATATTCAACATCTATAAGGAATTTAAATATACAAGAGATAAACAACCCCATTAAAAAGTGGGCAAAGGACATGAACAGACACTTCTCTAAAGAGGACATACATGTGGCCAAGAAGCATATGAACAAAAGTTCAATATCAATGATCATTAGAGAAATGCAAATCAAAACCACAATGAGATACCATCTCATACCAGTCAGAATGGCTATTACTAAGAAGTCAAAAAATAACAGATGCTGATGAAGTTGCGAAGAGGAGGGAACACTTTTACACTGTTGGAGGGAGTGTAAATTAGTTCAACCAATGTGGAAAGCAGTATACTGATTCCTCAAAGAGCTAAAAGCAGAACTATCATTCAACCCTACAATCCCGTTACTGGGTATATACCCAGAGGAATATAAATCATTCTACCATCAAGACATATGTACACCAATGTTCATTGCAGCACTATTCACAATAGCAAAGACATGGAATCAACCTAAATGTCCTTCAGTGACAGACTAAAGAAAGTGTGGTACACATACATTATGGAATACTATGTAGCCATAAAAAAGAATGAGATCATGTCTTTTGTGGGAACATGGATGGAGCTGGAGGCTACTAACTAGCAAACTAACGCAAGAATAGAAAACCTAATACCACATGTTCTCACTTAGTGAGAGCTAAATGATGAGAACTCTTGCACACACAGAAAAGAACAACAGACACTGGGGTCTACCTGAGGGTGGAGGTTGGGAGGAAGGAGAGGAGCAGAAAAGGTAACTATTGGGTACTGAGTTTAATACCTGGGTGATGAAATAATCTGTACAACAAGCCCCCGTGACATGAGTTTACCTATGTAACAAACCTTCGCATGTACCCCCAAACCTAAAAGTTAAAAAAAGAGAAATATGTGTTGAATAGACAACAGATTGTAAACTGCATCTTAGAAAAAGGTTAACAAACCAGTATCTCACAAATAGAACAACAATCAAGTTCAGCTGAGCATCCTCAGTCAACAAACCTGTCAAACTAGAAAGAGCATATGCTTATTTTCCCCCCAAAAATGATTTTTTTGTGTGTTATTAGGTTGTCGCAAAAGTAATTGTAGTCTTTGCCATTAAAAGTAAAGAAAAAAATCACAATTACTTTTGCACCATCCTAATAGCCTCATGGCTTTCAACTGCAACGTTTTGTTTCCCACAGATCAGCAGCAAGGGAGACCAAATGAACTGGTGCCTGACAGTAATGGTGG
This sequence comes from Homo sapiens, assembly GCF_000001405.40. Taxonomy (NCBI): domain Eukaryota; kingdom Metazoa; phylum Chordata; class Mammalia; order Primates; family Hominidae; genus Homo; species Homo sapiens. Next base: position 60,291,603 of record NC_000006.12, on the reverse strand, counting down.
AAGTGAAAGCATGTTGTGCTTGCATATCGCGATATGCTACTTGCATATTGACGGATTTGCTGCAGCACTGACAAGTTCACAGTGACCCACTTTAAAATGGCATTAAATGATCAGTATATTTAAAAAGACATGTTAACCAGAACCCAAGAAATCAGCTAGTTGTACACAAATAGTAAGAAAACTCCTATATGATTCCCAACTAAGTAACCATTCAAGAAAATTAATTATATTTAATCACAGTTTAAGGAAGAAAATTGAACACTACTTTTAAAAAGAGGATACAAGATTTAAGAGGATTCCACTCTTTAGAAATAAAAATTACCTGATTAAGTGCCTACAAAGCATATTTTTCCAAACCAACAAATACTTAATGAGCCACAGACCCAACTGGTACTTTCTAAATGTGAAAAAGGAAATCCTTTTCAAAAAAGAAAATCCTTGCTTTTCTCTGTGACTCCAAGTAAGAGCCACTTACCTGCCTGTCAATTATCTTCCTGGGAACTTCTCAGTCCTTTTTTCTGTATCTAAATAAGATGTGTATAAATACATTTTTTGGAAGTCTGGTTTCTTTAACGTTTTACCAGTACCTTCTAAAGATGAGTCTCACAAATAGAAAGTGAAATTAAGGCCAGGCATGGTGACTCATGCCTGTAATTCCAGAACTTTAGGAGGCTCAGGTAGAAGGATCACTTGAGCACAGGAGTTCTCGACCAACCCAGGCAACATAGGGATACCCCCAACTCTACATAAACTTTTATTAATAAAAAATTAAAAAATTAGCCAGGCACTGTTGGCACAGGCCTGTGGCTCCAGCTACTTAGGAAGCTAAGGCAGGAGGACGGCTTGAGCCTGGGAGGTCAAGGCCATGGTGAGTTGTAATTGCACCACTGCACTCCAGCCTGGGTGACAGAGTAGAGACCCTGTCTAAAAATAAAAAATAAAAATAAAAATAAATAGTCACACTGTGTGAGGAGAAAGAGATTTTTGCCTTAAAGAAATCCAGCTCCAATTTAAGGATCTGCCCCATTTCCTAACAACAAATGAAGTATGTTCTCTGCTTAATGACATCAAGTGGAAGTGCATGGAAACCAAGCTCAGCTGTGGGCCCCCTCTCTTCTCCACTGACATCCCACACTCTTCCTGGAGTCTCATGGCTTCACATTCTCCTCCCCAAAAATTTAGACACTCAAATCCAACTTCAAACTTGCCATCTCCATTTGTGTAACCAATAAGCACCTTCTACTTAACGTGGTCAGAATAGAACTCTTTATTTTATTTTACATATTTTTCTCAGAGTCTTCTACATCTTGGCAAAGGCATCACCCCCTAATAAATTATTCAAGCCAAAATTCTAGGCAGTGTAATATAATGGTCAAGAACATAGACCTTGATGCCAGACTGTATGGATTCAAGTCCTGCTTCTGCTCCTCACTACCTGTATAAAGATACTACAAGCCTCAGAGAGTGATAATGGTACCTGCCTTATAGGGTTACCATAAAGACTAAATGCATTAATTCATATAAAGAATTTAGAATAGCACTTGGCAAATATTAAATTTTCACTATGCTTAAGCTCTCATCATCATCATCATGCTGATTCTTCTCTTTCTCTCACAACCAATCCACCATGTCAATAATACTTTAAAAACTAACTGAAATCCACTGACTTCTGTCAGTCATATCACCACAACCAATCCATTTCAAGCCGCTATCTAGATTAATGTGAAAACTTCCAGACTAGTCCTCCTGCTTCCATTCCTTTTTTGTCCTCCAAAATGGCTTTCAAGCAGCAGCCACAGTCATCTATTTAAAACACAAATCAGATCATATCACTCACTTATTCAAAATCATCCAATGTCTTTCCACTACATTAGGCTAAAAAAAAATCAAACTCTTTACCCTGGGACTCTACCTCAAAGTCTCACAGAGTCTACACCTAGCCATTGCAGCCTCACATGGTAGCACTCTACCATAGCTCACTATGCTCTAGCTACACTGGCCTTTTTGATTCTAAAAAAACAGGCCAAGATTCCTCCCTTTGGGGGCCTTTGCATTAGTGACTTTTCCTGCCTGGAATGCAGTTTCCTCTATATTTGTTCAGCTGGCTCCTTCATGTCATTTACAATATTGTTATTGTTTATTTCTTCAGTAATTGTCTGTCTCCCACTAGAATATAAGCTTTGTAAGAGAAGAAATCTCATCTAATTTGTTAAGTAGTATCTCTAGTACCCAAACCTATGCATGGATGAACAAATAAAAAGTTATTTAAAAATAAACCATTAAATAAAAGAACTGGCTATAGCTTCTAAAATTGCCATATGAAGCAAAAAAAATCTATCTTTCCCTCATTCTTTTCCCTAACTGGTTATCAATCTATTCTACCGTAGCTCCAAATTCACCCCTTGTGCCTGCTCTGTGACTGGACCTTAATATACTTACCTATGAATATTTTATCAGAGTTTGAAGACCTAAATCACCTGGTTATACAACTCCTGACAAAGGCACAGTTACCATCAAAAGACCCTAAGAATTACAATCAGAAAACCTGAGATCAAGTCAGGGCTCCAGCAATTATTAGCCAACATAATCTTAGACAAATTACTTTGGTCTCTCTGTGCTGCATTTTCCTCATCCATATAATGCACATTATAACCCCTTTCTCTCTCAGTGACTTATAGTGGGATTAACAGTATGTATAAACAGTAAACTGTGAACAAAAGCAAGTTTATATCATTATTTGGTATCTGTCAGTTCAATAAAATTTTACTGACCACTAACCCTATGTGCCACATGCTATACCAGATCAAAATTTGAATTAAGAGAAATCCCTCACTCTCAAAGAACTTACATTTTAATTGAGGAGGAAAACACATAATGAGAATAATTTCACCGTAATTTGGTCGTGTGCAGAATGCTGTGGGAACACAAAGGAGATATACTTAGCACAATCTTGGGACTTAAGGGAAGGTTCTGAGAGGAAGTAGGGCCACAGAGTTCCTATCAAAGGAAAAAGTAATGTCAATTTTTTATCAGTCCTAAACCATGTTCAAAAGCTAGACAGTTATATTATAAAAGTCATATGGTCATAGGTTAAGAATAAGCTTTCAGTTGTCACCTGGGGTAAAACTCTCATCAATTTACATCTTCCCCCAGAACCATTTATTTCATCCTCTACCACTCATCAAAATACCTTTCAAAAAATCTACTTTAGGGTACTTTTTCTTATCCTACAAGAATATTTCCATTTATAAAGCTGAAAGTTTTCAATTACATACTCCAAGGTCAAAACCTTCCTCAATGGAAAGGACAGTAATAAAGAGACCATAGCAATAGGTTTAGATTTCTACTTCGCCACAGCCCTAAATGAACTCCTTCGCTTCCCTCCTGCTCCTTTCCACAGCTGTCAGGACAGGCTCCCAGGCAACAACTCCCACCACTCTCCTACATAAGAAAAAGTGTTCTCTGGACCTCCTCTCAACCAGGCTCGGCCCTGAACCACCCAGGAGAAAGCAAGTCACTGTCTGTCTTCTATTAAATCCAAGACACCAAGGCCAGGACTCTCCACAACCCACCTGTAATCAGGACAAATCCTTTTCTTTCTTTCTTTCTTTCTTTCTTTCTTTCTTTCTTTCTTTTTCTTTCTTTCTTTCTTTTTTTTTTTTTTTTTTGAGACAGGGTATCACTCTGTCGCCCAAGCTGGGGTGCAATGGCATGATTATAGCTCATTGCAGCCTTGATCTCCCAGGCTCAAGTAATCCCCCCACCTCAGCCTCCCAAGTAGGTGGGACTACGGGCGCATGCCACCACGACTGGCTAGTTTGTTGTTGTTGTTGTTGTTGTTTTTAGTAGAGACGGATTCTCACTATGTTGCCCAGGCTGGTCTCAAACTCCTGAGCTCAAGCAATCCTCCCACCTCATCCTCCCAAAGGACTAGGGTTACAGGTGTGAGCCACCCCACTCAGCCAGAATAAATCCATTTAAAGTAAATCTAAATCCATTAAAGCTGTACACAGATATACTCAATACCCTACAATTCCATTCCAAAACACATAACCAACAGAAATATGTTTTCCAAAATATGTGCTACAATGTTCAGAGCAGCAGTATTTGTGATAACCAAAAAAAAAAAAAAAAAAAAAAGAAAACAAAAGCTAAATGCCTATCAACAATAGAATGGACAAATTTTGATAAAGTCAATCAGAATTGGGCTGAATCAAAATCATGTAATCTGATAGAATGCAATGAAAAGAACATAGCATAACTTCTGTTACAGTACTGCTTAAAATGTCTAACTTGAATCTAGGCAGAAACATCAGATAAACCCAAACTGAGAGATACAAAATAACTGCTGATAATCTTCAAAAGTAACAAAGTCCATGAAAATCTAAGAGAAACTAAGAATCTTTTGCAGACTGAAGGAGACTAAAGAGACGTGACAACTAAATAATACATGTGAATTAAAATTGCCTGTGGGATGTGATTGAGAAAACTGGTGAAACTTGAATGGGGTCTGGAGGATAGATGGTAGTAACTTATCAACATTAATTTTCTTATTTTGATGTTGAATTGTGGTCATGCAGGAAAATGTTCTGTTTGAAGGAAATAAACACTAACAAGTATTGGGGGTGCCAAGACATCAGGCTGGGAACTTATTCTCAAATGGTTTAAAGAAAAAGTTGCTATTTTCTACTTAATTTTCTGTAAGTCTGTGATATTTCAAATTTTTTTAAAGTATTAATTTTTTAAAAAGTATGTTTGGAAGGGGAAGAATGAGTAGAAAGAAGTGAAGAAGAATGGAATTCAAAGTTCATAAATACTAATTTCTTATCAACAAGGTAGAAAGCTTAGGTGCAGTTGGCTGAAATGAATTTATTACAAACTTAGGAACCCAAGTTTTGTCTTTTCTCTCAGTATAGACCCCTCATTTCTACCCAGAAAGTAGAAAAAAATTGTAAAATTTTGCAAAAATCTGCCACATATCCTTCTTTCTACACTGGAATATTGGGATGATAAATCACAAATATACATAGAATATCTTGACTTATCTAAAATAAAAATGAGTGGCAAATGTAAAATTTTTTTTTACATTTTTAAAGTTGATTTCAAGGCAAATTTATAAAACAAACAGTCAAAACTTATTAAAAATTTATTTAAACTTTGCAATACACAAAATCAGAAGTAGCTTTAAACCCAAAAGTAAAAGAATTTCAGATTCATTTTCATAGTTAGGTTTTTGGGCACTGGGCAGCTTGGCTTGAAAGAAATTACAAAGTGAAAAATTTTGTACATTTAATTCACATTCAGTGTCTTTTCTAGGTAGTAGACAATTGTTGTCTGCCTCCCCATCTTCATTCTCCCCTCTCCCCATTCCTAACAATCATCCATTTTTGTTTGGGATATTGTGGTTTCAGGAACACACTGACTCTCAGCTCCCATGATCCCCCATCTAAAAGGGCAGACACATGATCTTAGGCTAGGCCATCCCTTAAACCACAATAGCTGCTTTAGTGATAGACATGTGATACGGGTTAAACTCTGTCCCAAGAAAATCATATGTTGACGTACTAACCCCCAGTACCTCAGAATGTGACCTTATTTAGAAATAGGATTGTTGCAGATGTACTTAGTTACAATGAGGTCACATTGGAGTTGAGAGGTGACTGATATCCTTAGAAAAATGATATCCCAATATGACTGATATCCTTAGAAAAAGCAGAATTTGGGACATGCAGGGTGAATGCCATGTGAAGACTGGAGTTATGTTGCCACAAGTCAAAGAACTACCAGAAGCCAGAAGACAGATGTGGAATAGATCTTTCCCCAGCACCTTCAGAGGAAGCATGGCCATGCGGACACCTTGATTTCAAACTTCTGCCCAGGGACAAAGAAATTCTTTCAGATAGTATGCTATACAGAAATAAAGCCTGATCCCATGGTAACTATTTTTGCAACCATCAGAAAGCCAGACTGAGGATAAGGCATACACATAAGGGTAAAGACATATTCAGAGAAAGGGATGAAACATTCGGCAAGCTATGTCTGAAGTCCATATTATATCTAGACTTCTCACTTTTATGAGCTAGCAGATTCTATTTACTGGTTAATGTAGCATAGGCTGTTACCTGCAACTAGAAAAGAAAACACTAACTAACGCAGACACTGATCTAGGTACCAGGATGCTTTCTGCTACTAGAGAAAGAGAATTCCACTCAAATATGAGTACCTAAGTTAGTGCCTTTAAAAATTAAAACTTCATTATCCCATGTAATAAAAAGTTTGGTGGTTCCAGAATAGGTTAATTCAGCAACTCAACGACAGCAACAAGGACTCAGATTCTTTCCATCTTTCTACATGTCTATGCAGCAAATTGGGTCGTCCCGAAGTTACCTGCCTCATCTCTAGATGGCTGTAGCTGTTCCAGGCATCACATTCAGTTACAACAATATCCAGAGGGGGGAAAAAAGACTACTTCATCCCACATGCATTTTTTTTAGCAAGAAAAACTTTTTTCAGAAGCCCCCAAAGAACTCATACTTTTTAGCCACAATTACATTGTCACAGGCATAAATTAAAAATTTGGTAAGAAGGAAATGACTATGATCAGATTAATAGTAGCATTAACATGCCAGAAGTTTTCTGAAATGCATGGTGATATTTTTGGTTGTCATGGAGACTGGGGTCTACCACCAGCATTTAATAGATGACAGCTAAAACTATCCAATATGCTGGAAAATATTTGTCTATTTCACACAAAGAAGTGTGGTCTAAAATGTCAACAGAGAGAATATGGGTGAATAAAACTAAGAATAATAAAAGAGCAATGGCCAAACAGTAGACAAGTATCAGTGTCTTCCACAGTGGTGAAAGACACTATTCTTAGCTATAACTAGAATATAATCTAGGGTAGTGACAGACAAGTAAAGAAAAAATTTAAAAGCATCACCTTTCATGAGGATAAAGAAATAACAGGATTAGGAATGGAGAAAGAATATTAACAGTTACTAAATACCTGTTATGCTAGGTGTTCTCATAAATTCCTTCATTTAATAAACACAGAGTTAGTATTTTAGTCTTCCCAAGTGCTGACATAGCTAAATTATACATATTTAGGTAACCCCAGAGAGTCAATAAAAATTTATTTATATCAGAAAATACTACAGTTTTTAACTCAGAAGGAAAGCTTGGCATATGCTTACACTATAATCAGTACAGTTTAAAACAGCCATGTCACAAACCTTTGAAGTCTTCTTCTGCATTAGGTACAAAAAAAATATTAAAAACTGACTCAGATTAAGAGACAACAACTGTAAAATACGTGTTTTACATATAAAAATGTGTATAGTTTTAAGATATCACCACTTAAGAGTCACACTTCCAACAAACTACTTAAAAATCACTGATCATGTCATTTGTTCAACACAGCTACCTCCAAATTCACCCAGTACGGAGCTACTCATTGCAGCACTAGCATATCACAGTGTTAGTACTTAAGATTTTCTTCTATATTGTCTTCTACTGATACCAAATACTAATTCAGAACAGAAATCTAGGAGTTATATCTACCACAGGCCACACTAATTGTTAAGAGCCATATACGAAGTCTATTTCTAAGGAAAAAAGACATGACCATGAAGAAACCCACAGAGGTTACTCACAAAATTAATCACTCAGCATTGGTATTAGTAGGATCAAGAAAAAAAACTTAAAAACCAACTATGGATAGTAACAAATAAAAACCTAGGAGTTTTGGGATTAATAGTACAACATCATAAGTAATCTGAATATCATTATGAAAACTGAATTAACTTATTTCCTAGAGAAACACAGAATAAAACTACCAGGAGTATATAACTGAAAGTGTGAACATGTCAGATACAGAAATAAAGTAAAATACTTACTGCCAAAGCCTTGGACAGTTTGGCTCTAAATTCATTCAGGATGATTGCCACAATGTCCTTAAGTGGTACGTAAGCAAAGCCACCTTCCAAATAGACTTTCCTTCCTCGAAACAAATCCAGAGCATCAGCAAAAGGGATCTGAATTAAGAGTGAAACAGGCAAAATAAGTCAGCACCTGTCAGTAAGAAATCCTCCTAAGTCTTCATATGTATAAAGTATAAACAAAGAAATTCATTAGTCCTAGCAGAGCCAAAAGAATATAAAAATGATTAATTTATCCTCCTTAAAACTCAACAGCATTAGCAAACAGTGGCAGTACAAAAATATGTTCATTTCAGAGTTGATGTTTTGAAAAGTAGTAACACTAAAAGGCCAAGTTGGAATGCTTTCTTTTATTCCTTAACCTCTGAATTTACAAAACATAATCCCCAGGATTTCAAACTCTTAACTCAAGACTTCTACACATGTTGCATTCACCTCACATATCCCACATTGTATTCTGCATCAGAGAGAATCCTAATTTGTAAACAACATATTCAGAGCTGAAAATTACTTGTAAGTAAATTCTAATTTCTTCATATATGTTTCCATTCTCACTCCAGAGAAATATATTGAGAAAGCTAATCTCAGTGCTAAGAAATGGAAATAATAAGCATTCAGTTTTGCTATTAAAATAAGTATTTGCCCCAAGAATTTATTTTTAAAAATCTTAGATTTTTAAACCCTATGAACAATCTTAAAATTCTAAGAGATGAGCAAAGTATGATATTAGTAAACTGTAAAAATCATTCTTACTCTCCAATAGAATTTTTCTTTTTTAAAAAAACGAGGTTAAAAAATTAGGTGAAAAATGATTCCCAAATTGCCTGTTCATTCAAGTTTTAAGGAAGAATTAAATATAAATGCATACAATTTTCTGTATATCCAATGACATCTCACACTATAAACAGATCATGTGCTTTTTAACAACTTTCAATTAATTTACCGATTTCTACAACTACAACACAGTCCCTGCCCTCATGGGCACACACGGAAAGTCAAACAGCCCTACAGGGTAGAATTGTGTGATACTGCACCAAATAGGTAGCTTACATAGGACATATCAGATGAGCAGGTAAGAGGGTTTACTGCAATAATATAGGGAAGAAACATGAGTTCTAGTCCAAGCTCTGATACTGACTAGACTTATTTGGTGAATTTAATGAATGCCTTTAAATCTCAGCAGCCAGATCTGTAAAGCTGAGAGAGGGGAGGAAGAGAGAGGCTAACTGACCCTTAGGGATTCTTTAGCCATAGTATTTCATGATTCTAGCTTATTAAGGTGGTCACAGTGGAAACAAAAATGCCCAAGTAGAAGCAAAAGATGATGTGAAGGCAGAGTAACTGGAAATGTGTGGTGTAAGAGAAATAAATATTGATCGCCACACTCTAGGCTTGAAAGGCTGACTGAATGATGGCCCAACAGTCGAAACGAAGAAGCTGGAATGGGGCAGGACTTTAAACTACTGGCACTCACTCGTAATAATTAGCACATTCTTTTCAAAGGAAATTGTGGGGTTGTAGTTATCAAATTGTAAAATGAATTTAAACTCTTCCCTCTTCCCCTTCTGGAAGGGTTCATATGAAGTAGTTATCTGAACTGAGTGGGGAGGGGAAACTGAGGTGGCCAAGCACAGGATGATGGAATCTGAGTAGGTTAAGGAGGGCATTCCCATAGGAAAAAACGTAGGCTTACAATGTCAGAGCCCAGTGGAATGACAGAGAGACCATGAGGCGAGACACCACGATGTCAGAGGCCAAGAGAAAGGAAGGGGGGCTTCCACGCAAGGCAGCAATCCAAACAGAGTGTTGGGCCAAATGGGTGATGAGGGTTTCCTGGCCCAGTGCAGGGTGTAAGAACCCAAACAATGCAAGGAGGTATTCCATTAGGAAAACAGCCTGTAATGGGAGGTCAGAGCCCAAGCAGGGTTGGGAATGCATCTGTGGAAGGAGACAGCCCAGGAGAGAACATTGGCACACCATTAGTGCAATGAGGACAGTATCTGTGCAGGAGACAGAGTAGCTGTGGTGATGAGAGGCTATAAAAATGGATTAATTAAATATGTATATAAAGCTCAATGCGACATATTTTACAAAACCTAGGAAGTATTTTACATGTTTACATACCTTATAAATGGACTTGAACCCCAACTTAAGTCCACTTAAACTTGGTGATGAGGCAACAATCTCCTGTTCTCGAAGAGTCTTCTCTTCATCACTTATCTAAAAAAACATATTTTAAGCTGTTATAAAAATTTGAAGTCCTCATTCAGTTTCAATAAAATGATTTCCTGTTTTAATGAATACTGTTTACTTTTATTAAAAATTTTAAAACCTTGATATCTCAAATCATTTCTAACATGATATCTGAATCACTATCATTAGTGAAGGCAAAATACAGAAAAAAACCTACATTGAATATTCTTTCAGATTTCAACCCTGCCAATTTCTGAAGGTATACATCAAAAGAACAGTAGCAGACAAAGAGAAAATATTTTAATGAGAAAAAGGAAAAAACTTATCATAAAAACTCAGGTTAACATAGACTAAAAATTAGCATTATCCTAATTTGAGTTATGTTAATACATTAAAATATCCTAATTGAGGTTAGAGTGGTTTGACTATTTCTCAATTTTCTAACCACATAAGACAATTCCAAACTTAAAACACTAGTTTTTCTAGGAACAACTATAAATTTATTATCTCAGACTGATTATGGCTTTATAAAAAATTGATAGATCTGATTAGTACAAGCGTTAAACTTCTATACCAAAACATATATATATTTTTGTAAATGAAGATGAAATATAAGTGACAAACTGAGGGAAATATTTACATCATCTGATGTGTGAGTTAGCCTCAGTAAGCCCCTAGTTGGCAGTATGTAAGCTTTCATAACCCAAAAGTAGTAAAACATGAACAGCCAATAGTTATATAAGTAAAAATAATAAATGCTAAATTAAAATAATAATGTGTACTATTTTCCATCTATCAAAATGGTAAAAGTTAAAAAGATTTAGAATACACAGTGTTAGGACAATCTTTGTGTACCATACTTTGATAATACATATCAAATAGCCTTTAAAAATGCAGATTGTAACTATTTTATTTTCAGATTAATCACAAGTAAATAACAGGACAAGCACACAAATAAAAACGTTTCTTTATTACAGTGTTATTTATAATAATAAAGAAAAAAACTAAATGTCCAACATGTATCTAGTTAAACAAACTGCAGTAGAACTTGCTGTTTCAGTAAAACAGGCTACATTATTTAGGTCAACCTCCTAGAGAAAACAAAACAAAACAAAACAAAACACTGATAAAATTTTAAAAACATCTTTACAGCACAGAAAGTTAATATACAAAGTCAGGCCCACACAAAGTGGGATATCTGACGAGAGACCTTCCTGCTCAAATGATGTAGGATATCAGGGAATCCCAAGCCTTGAACTTGTTTTAAGGCGGTACCTGATTCAAATGCCCAGGCACCTCGCAAAAGCAAACTCAAATCCTCTCTGGAGGAACCTTCACAGTACACCTCAAAGTATTCCTACAAATAAATTTCCAAATACAATGTCAAGCACGTTGTATTTTATAACAAGGTATAGAATAAAACTATACTTCACTAACAAAAACAACAGAGAAGAATTCACAAAGTTTACAGATAATAACTATGCTACCATGTGTACAGATATAAAAGACAAGCACAATCTGTATGAAGTAGAAACTATAAAAAGTGATTTTCTTTTTAAAAGCAAAAGGCTGGGCACGGTGGCTCATGTCTATAATCCCAGCACTTTTGGAGGCCAAGGCGGGAGGATCACTTGAGTCCAGGAGTTTGAGACCAGCCTGGGCAACACGGTGAGACCCCATCTCTACAAAAAAAAAAAAAAAAAAATTAAAACATTAGCCAGGTATGGTGGTATACACTTGTTATCTCAGCTACTTGGGAGGCTAAGGTGGGAGGATTGCTTGAGACCAGGAGTTAGAGGCTGCAGTAAGCCATGATCACATTACTGCACTCCAGTCTGGGTGACACAGCAAACCCTTATCAAAAAAAAAAAAAAAAAAAAGAAGAAGAAGAAAAAAAAGCTTTCTGATGTGCTGTTTTACATCACTGAATGGAACCTGGGTTTTCATTAAAAAGGTTCCAAACACACAGTTTGTAGAATCTAAGAAATGACATTTCTGAGCCCATTGAGCCCTTACAGGAACATACAAACATCCAGCCCTAAGACCTAAAATCAAGCAGCGTGCACAAAACCTTTGTGATGTGTTGTTTTATATCAATAAATGAAACCTGTGTTTTATTAAACAGGTTCCAAACACACGTTTAGATGAATGTAAGAAATGACATTTCAGAGATGATTAGGCCTATATAAGGAAAAAAAGGAAAAAGAAAAAAAAAATTTCTAGAAATAGACAAAAAAATTTAGGCACAGAAATTTAAAACTCAATGGAGTCAGGAAGAAACCCCTGAAATTCCTGTAGCTGTGAACAATTACTTGAGGATGAACCAGAACCTTATCAGCCTTCATATGGATCTACAACCCATTTTCAACTTATCTAGTGGTTCTGAGATCTCAGATCCCAGATTTAAATTAAAATTGTCCTGGACCAGCAATGACCCCAGGCCAATGAAAAAAAAAAAAAAACAAATGAAAACCCTTCTAGAAAGATATAATCCTCCTAAGCTTCAATATAGTCCACAAATAACTTTCGAAACACAATCTCCAGCATACAACAGTAACAAAGCACACCAGGAAATGAGACTCCATGAATAAAAACAATATAGGTAAGAACAAAAAAGTATCAAGATTGAAAAAGAAGAACTGAAACTCTATTTGCAGATTATATGATTTAGTATACTTAGAAAATCCAGAAGAATCCACGATAAATTATTAAAACTATTGGCCTAATTGAGTCAGGTTTCTGGATTCAAATATAGAAAAACCGGCAGGGTGCGGTGACTCACACCTGTAATCCCAGCACTTCAGGAGGCTGAGGCGGGTGGATCACGAGGTCAGGAGTTTGAGACCAGCCTGGCCAACATGGTGAAACCCCATCTCTACTAAAGATATCAAAAAAAAAAAAATTAGCTGGGCATGGTGGTGCATGCCTGTAATCCCAGCTACTCAGGAGGGTGGGGAAGAAGAATTGCTTTGAACCTGGAAGGTGGAGGTTGCGGTGAGCCAGGATTGTGCCACTGCACTCCAGCCTGGGTGACAAGGCAAGACTCGGTCTCAAAAAATAAAAAATAGAAATAAAAAAATATAGAAAAACTAATTGTATTTCTATATGCCAGCAACAAAATTCAGTAAGGGAATTTTTTAAGCTACAATTTACACCAGAATTAAAACTATCAAGGATTTAGGAATAAATCTAACAAAATATGTGCAAGGCCTTCACCAACAAAAATATAAAATCTTAGAGAAACTGGAGAAAAATTAATTAACAGAGATACCCTAAACATCAACCAGAAAACTTAATACTGTAAATGTTTTAAATCTCTTCAAATTAACCTATAGATTCAATACAATCCCAAACAAAATCGTAATAGCTTTTGCGTATGCCTCTGTGTGTGGACATTCTGGTTCTAAAATGTACATGAACATGCAAAGGGCCAAGAACAGCCAGAACAGAAATAACAAAAAAAATAGTCAATCCAATAGAAAAATTAGCAAAAGACATTAACAGGCACTTTACAAATGAGAAAACTCAAAGAGCCAAAAAATGTATTAAAAGATGCTCAACCTCCTTAGTCATCAGGGTTTGAAACCATAATGGAAACCTCAATGACATACCACTACATGACAATTAGAATGGTTAAAATGTACAAATGGCCAGGCATGGGAGTTGGCATCTGTAGTCCCAGCTACTTGGGAGGCTGAGGCGGTTGGATCGCTTGAGGCCAGGAGTTTGAGACTAGCCTGGGCGACTAAGTGAAACCCCATCTCTAACAGGGTCTTGTTTGTTCACCCAGGCTGGAATGCAATGGTATGATCACGGCTCACTGAGTAATTGAACTTTCTGAGTAATTGGGACTACAGGCACAAACCACCACGCCCAGCTAATTATTCTTAAATTGTTTTAATATTATATTTTTTCTTATAGAGATGGGATCTCCCTATGTTGCTCAGGCTGGTCTCGAACTCCTGGGCTCAAGGGATCCTACTCCCTTGCCCTCTCAAAGTGTTAGAATTACAGATGTGAGCCACCATGCCTGGCCATTTTTTAAATTTTTTATAGAGACACGGTCTTACTGTGTTACCCAGGCTAGTCTCAAATCCCTAGAATCAAGTGATTCTCCCACCTTGGCCTCCCAATAGGCTAAGATTACAGGCATAAACCATTATACCCAACCTAAAAAAACTTTTTTTTAATTAGCTGGGTGTGATGGTGCATACCTAGTAGTCCCAGCTGAGATAGGACTACAGACACACACCATTACACACAGCTAATTTAAAAAAAAAAAAAAAAAAGGCTGAGGTGGGAAGATCTCTTGAGCCCAGGAGTTTAAGGCTACAGTGAACTATGATCACACCACTACCCTCTAGACTGGGCAACAGAGGAAGGGTCAGCATCATCCTTATACCAAAATCTGGCGGAGACACAACAAAAAAAAGAAAACATCAGGCCAATATCCTTGATGAACACTGATGCAAAAATCCTCAACAAAATACTTGTAAACCGAATCCAGCAGCACATCAAAAAGCTTATCCACCACGATCAACTTGGCTTCATCTCCAGGATGCAAGGTTGGTTCAACATACACAAATCAATAAATGTGATTCATCACATAAACAGAACTAAAGATAAAAACCACATGATTATCTCAATAGATGCAGAAAAAGCCTTCAATAAAATTCAACATCCCTTCATGTTAAAAACTCTCAATAAACTGGGTGTTGAAGGAACATACCTCAAAATAATAAGAGCCATATATGACAAACCCACAGCCAATATCATACTGAATGGGCAAAAGCTGGAAACATTCCCCCTGAAAACCCGCACAAGACAAGTTTGCCCTTTCTCACCACCCTTATTCAACATAGTCTTGAAAGTTCCTGCTAAGGCAATCAGGCAAGAGAAAAAAATAAAGAGTATTCAAATAGGAGGAGAGAAAGTCAAACTATCTTTGTTTACAGATGACATAATCCTATATCTAGAAAACCCCATTGTCTCAGCCCAAAAGCTTCTTAAGCTGATAAGCAACTTCAGCAAGGTCTCAAGATACTAAACGAACATGCAAAAATCACTAGCATTCCAGCTGAGTGAGGTGGCTCATACCTGTAATACCAGCAATTTGGGAGGCTGAGGCAGGTGAACCACCTCAGGTCAGGAGTTCATGACTGCCCAACATGGCGAAACCCCGTCTCTGCTAAAAATACAAAAATTAGCCGGACATGGTGGCACACACCTGTAATCCCAGCTACTCAGTGGGCTGAGGCAGGAAGATCCCTTGAACCTGGGAGGTGGAGGTTGTAGTGAGCTGAGATCGCGCCACTGCAGTCCAGCCTGGGCGACAGAACAAGATTCTGTCTCAATAAATAAATAAATAAATAAATAAATAAATAAATAAATAGCATTCCTATACACCAACAATAGCCAAGCCAACAGCCAAATCAAGAAGGCAATCCCATTTACAATTGCCACAAAAAGAATAAAATTCCTAGGAATACAGCTAACAAAGGAAGTAAAGGACCTCTTCAAGGAGAACTACAAACCACTGTTCAAAGAAATCAGAGATGACACAAACAAATGGAAAAATATTCCATGCTCATGGATAGAAAGAATCAGTATCACGAAAATGTCCATACTGCCTGATGCAATTTATAGATTCAAATGCTAATCCCATCAAACTACCACTGACGTTCTTCACAGAATTTTTTTAAAACTATTTTAAAATTCATATGGAACCAAAAAGGAGCCCAAATAACCAAGACAACCCTAAGCAAAAAGAACAAAGCTGGTGGCATCACACTACCCTATTTCGAACTATACTACAGGGCTACAGTAACCAAAAGAGCATGGCACTGGTATAAAAACGGGCACATAGACCAATGGAACAGATTAGAGAAACCAGAAGTAAGACTGCATGCCTACAACACTTGATCATCAACAAACCTAACAAAAACAAGCAACGGGGAAAGATTTCCCTATATAATAAATGGTGCTGTGAGAACTGGCTAGCCATACATAGAAAATTGAAACTGGACCCCTTCCTTATACTATATACAAAAATCAACTCAAGATGGATTAAATACTTAAATGTAAAACCTAAAACTATGAAAACCCCAGAATTGGCATTACCAATCAGGACATAAGCACAGGCAAAGATTTCATGATGAAAACACCAAAAACAATTGAAACAAAAGCAAAAATTGACACATGGGATCCAATTAAATTAAAGAGCTTCTGCACAGCAAAAGAAACTATCAACAGAGTAAACAGACAATCTAAAGATTGGGAGAAAATTTTTGCAATCTATACATCTGACAAAGGTCTAATATCCAGTATCTATAAGGAACTCAAATTTACAAGAAAAAAAAAACATTAAAAAGTGGGCAAAGGACACGAACAGACCCTTCTCAAAAGAAGACATACATGCGGCCAACAAACATATGAAAAAAAAAAACTCAATGTCAGTGATCATTAGACAAATGCAAATCAAAACCACAATGAGGTACCATCTCACACCAGTCAGAATGGCTACTACTAAAAAGTCAAAAAACAACAGATGCTGGCAAGGTTGTGGAGAAAAAGGAATGCTTTTACACTGTTGGTGGAAGAGTAAATTAGTTCAACCATTGTGGAAGACAGTGTGGGGATTCCTCAAAGACCTAGAGGCAGAAATACCATTGGAGCCAGCAATCCCATTACCGGGTATATACCCAAAGGAATATAAATCATTTTATTATTTTATTATAAAGATACATGCACACATATGTTCACTGCAGCACTATTCACAATAGCAAAGACATGGAATCAACCCAAATGCCCATTAATGATAGACTGGATAAAGAAAATGTGGTACATATACTCCATGGAATACTATGCAGCCTTAAGAAGGAATGAGCTCATGTCCTTTGCAGGGACATGGATGGAGCTGGAGGCCATTATCCTTAACAAACTAACACAGCAACAGAAAACCAAATACCACATGTTCTCATTTATAAGTGGGAGCTGAATGATAAAAACACATGGACACTTGGTGGAGAAAAACACACACTGGGCCTTTTGGAGGGTGGGAGGTGAGAGGAGGGAGCGCATCAGATGCTGGGCTTAATACCTCACTCACCATTTATTATATGAAAGTTGAAATACAGCAGAGGATGAAGTTTAGGTGTGTCAATCTAGTAGATTATTCAAAAGTTGATGACGACTGAAATCCATGTGTACTATCTACTAGTTACTATGCTATTTTACTTATACTATCTCACTTAATCCTACTAATAACCCTATAAGCTGGATATTATCTTAGTTTTATAGCTAATTAATATGAGTAGAAACCAAACTGGATTTCCAACCAAAGTCTATCCAGTGCTAAGGTCCACTAAGCCATGTGGTCTCCAAGCAAATAAACAGATACTACTTTGCAGGAAAGCTAAACAAACATGTAACATTAAAAGCAATGGAAGACAAATTCATCAACTGGAAATTTTCACCTCAATTCCTCTTTGGTGATGGACAAGATAAAGATACAGAAACTAAAAATGTAATACAACTAGATGCCATGAGAAGTTTCATAGGTAAAAATTTTAAAGGGTCAGAGCACAAATTACAGATAATCAACACTCATTGTAGAGTATGTAAATTGAGGTTTAGCAATAGCAAATATTTCCCTAAGAGCTAAAGCCAGATTATTTTGCTTTAGCATTTGCTATGTTTACATATAACTCTGTTGACAGTAACTTCTCTACTTAATTGACTATTTACCTTTCACTTTGCATTCCATAAGGGAAATTCTCTGAAACTCAAATAGGCAACCAGACACACAATGCAGAAAATATCTGCGAGGAAGTAGCTATTTTAAGTTTTAGAGCCAAGCTATAATTCTCAAACAGCAATTAATGAAGGAAGAAACTGATTGGGGAGATAGGGTGAAAGGAGAAGAAATCTTCATGTCTTCACAATGTTCTTTCATTGCTTTTTAAGTAAGCATCCAATCTAAATATAAAAATATATTTCAAATTTTCCCAGTAAACATTTATCTGAAATTAAATGAAATTTTAATATACATCTCTGTGTTCCCCACCATTAATAAGAATAATTATAATTGATTACATGTATTGTTTGTTGCCCAAATAAATCCTGCCTAGATCTGGCAAAACTGAAACTGAAGCCAAATGTGTTAACCTGTCATGATCCTTTTATAATCACCTTTTACCCAGCAATAAAGAAACTAGTATCTTTGAACATACAGATGTTTGTCCTAATATTGTTTTAGGTTCTAACTAAACAAATCCCACATTAATAACTAAGTACCACTAATACTTCACCTAGCATAATATAGTATCTCACCTTTCCCTGAATTCAAGTATTTGTATTACTGATACCACAGTTATTTCTAACTTGGTAAGCAATTAACTACTTACCAAGTAAATGTCAGGGAAGCACACATCAGTTCAACTGCCACACAACAGAATACTTTAGCTACAAGAGACTTTACTTCTCCAAATACTCTTCTGCCTTGGAAATATACAAGATATAATTTTGAAAAAAAAAAAAACCTCAAGAACTTAAATAAAAATTAGAGTTTAATGCAATATTTCTTCTCATTGAAATCTACCCCCACCCAAAGAAGAATAAAAGCTATCTAGTCTTGCTCAGATTAGAAGTTATAGATAAAATTCTGGGCTGGGTGCAGTCACTCATGCCTGAAATCCCAGCACTTTGGGAGGCTGAGGTGGGCAGATCACCTGAGGTCAGGAGTTTGAGCCCAGCCTGGCCGACATGGTGAAACCCCATCTTTACTAAAAATACAAAAATTAGCCGGGCATGGTGGGCCATGCCTGTAATCCCAGCTACTCAGGAGGCTGAGGCATGAAAATAGCTTGAACCTAGGAGGCAGGCAAAGGTTGCAGTGAGCTGAGATCGCACCACTGCACTCCAGCGCGGGTGGCAGGGTGAGACTCCATCTCAAAAAAAAAAAAAAAGGTTATAGATAGAATTCTAAGGAATTCAATGTGTTTCTAAACTTTTCACCCAAAGTAAGCAAACACACTCTAAATCATGCACATTCGATCTAAATTTCATGTCACTTCCTGTTTCATGGCCTATGAGTAAATATTCTGGTTTTCTTTGATGAATTAAAAAATACATCCATTTGTCAAACAAATTCTAAATCTTCATTTATCTATTTAGTTATAACCAAAATGGAAATGGAAAATACAAGACAATTCTCACTGAAAAATGTAGGATGACTGTCTGAAACTTTACTATTAAATAATTAGTATAAACTGCTATTAACTTCATTATTTTGAAATCCTAAAATAATCCTGAATATTCTCTTTACTCTTTCTTTCTCCTTAAAAACTATTGGACAAAATGTAAGGATATTTCATTTATTTAGGTTCTCCTAAATGAGATTACCTGCTGCATACCTAAAAAAAATACTCATTCTCTGAAAGAGCAAGACAAGATTAAATGGCTTCCTACTTCTACTAACAAAGAATACAAGTAAAAACAGATAGAGTGGAATAATTATAAAAGCAGAGTAAAGTAGTAGAGAGAATAGTTTTCAAAATCATAGAAACTTGTCTTTGAATCTTAAACAGGTTAGTTAACCTCTTTACACCTTAGTTTCTTCAGGGATAAAATGAAGAAAATCATACCTATCTCATGTAGCTTTTCTTGGGATTAAATAAAGTACGTGAAGTGTGTACAATAGGCCTAACATACAGCACACCCTTAGTACATGGTAAACACTTGTTGTTACTACCTGTAATTTACATTTTGATTAGTTTCTATATTTCAGGCTTTTTCCTCAAGTAATAAAGTGAAATGTTTACTGCAACTAATGCAGTTTCTATAAACTTGTCATTTCATTAAACTAGCACAGGTCTTGGTGTATAGGGGAATTCAAAATAACTGATAAAAGCCAGCTAGGTTATCACTGCAACATCTTATAATCAAGGTGTAGTATGCTTCACAAAGTAAACATCCTCCTAAAAAGAGGTGTATAAACAAATGGCTCAACATGAAACACACATTTTTTGAGTGACTTACATTACTATTTTAGAGATGCTCAACCTTCACTCTGATTAATGTTCAATCAATAGAGACTCTGAACATTCTAGCTTTGAAGTTCTGCTCTTGCCACTACTACTCATAATTCCCCACATCTCAATCCCTATTATTCATATCCACCCACTCAACAGTCAGTACCTCAATGTTTCAAATGGTATAATGGTACAATTTTTTATCAAGTAAAAATTACACTGGGTTTTAACTGTTTTGGCAAAGTTATATTTCCATATTCCAAAATTATGTTGTTTTATATGCTGCCTTGCTAATAGAATTAAGGATTTTGGCTGTGTGTCTTTTTCTTTTTTATATTCTGCATCAAACCAGGAACTGAGAGAGGCAATTTCACTCTGTTGAAATCCTGAAAGCAGATTAAGGAGCAGCTCTAGAGAGGCAAATACTCTACACAGTAAATAGAAGGGTAATGGATGTCTGTGTAGACTGTATCGCTATTCACCCTGTACTGAGTCCCTCACTGAGGGAGAATTATACACCCCCTACCTGCTGAACTAAAGCGTAGCCAAGTGACTTGCTTTGGCCAGTGAAATGTGAGTGGAAGTGACGTGTGTCATTCCTAAGCAAAAGTTTTATGAGCATGTAGTTTACCCAGTTCTCTCCTCCTTTTGCCTCAGCAACTGGTGAAGTTTCGGTATACAGAGCCTACTCGATCCGCCTGAGTCCAGGGACAAAATGACACAAAGCAGGGTTGTAGCTGACCCATGAAGACATAGAATATGAACAAGGAACAAACCTTTCTATAAGTCACTGAGGTTTGGGGGTCATTACCAATGCATAACCTAAACTGACTGGAATAGTGACCTTCATCTTTGCATCACAGATTGTCATCAATAAAGTGTTTTCAGCACATACTTCCAATATATGTATATTTATTTATAAATTATATGTATGTATTACTGTACATTCTGCACTTAAAACATGCCATACCCACCCCCAAAATGTGGAACGGATGAGACTAAAAATATATGTTGTATTATTTATTTCTTTCCCACATTCCCAAATGATCATCTCAGGGATGCCATGTTGGAACCACTAGTCTAGTACACTGGCCTCAAAAGTAAAGATATAAATAAGGCTTCTCAGAGATTTAAGCTTCTATAAGCTTCCGATCAACAATACTCAATCACGTTTATAAATAGTTTGGATAGTTTTCTATTTGAATCTACAGAGCTCTCTTAGACCCTGGTCATTAAGTAAGTATGTACATTACTTGCCAGTGAAGCTTTTTAAAATTACAGATTCCTGGTGCCACCCAGACCTACAGATTGAAGCCCTGAGGTGTATGTTTTTTTTTAAGGTCCATTAGTGGTTCGACATACATCACTGGTCTAAACAGCATATCCCAGGAAAAGAATCCGCTTTTCTAAAATAAATGTATGAGATATATATATATATATATATATATATATATATATATATATATAAAATAAAACAATTAGGAATCATTTCATTTATAAAGAAATTAAAACTTTGTGAATAGATCAAATGCTGAAAGCAAATATCATACTTTTTAATACTGTTATTATCATTTCAAATAAATATAGGTTCTATATTGGTAGCAAATACTGTGATTATAAAGGGCAATTTGTTTCCCATATGCACTGTGATGTAATCATCAATCTGGAGTACATGGGGATTAAAGATGGCTGCAAAGTCTTTGACACATTCTCCATTGAGAGCTAAGATCTATTTGCCCTCCCCTTGAATCTGGCCTGGCCTGTGACTACTTTGACAGGAACGAGTGATGCCCTGCCAGGCCCAGGCCTATTTTTTGAGAGGACTGGCAGATTCTGCCTTGTTCTCTTGGAGTCCTAGATCACGAAGTAAGAATTCCAACCACCTCGTTTGAGGGATCACATGGAAAGGCTTCCAGCAGAGTCCAGCCTTTTAGAAGTCCTCACATATGCACAAGCATGTGAGTAAAGCTGTCTTAGACATCCTAGACCTAGAAACCCCATATATAATATTATGTGGAACAGAACAATTGCCCTGTAAGCCCAATCTGAATCCCTAACCCTCAAAAGTGTGAGATATAATAAGATGGGTATTGTTTTAAGTTTTAGAATTAAGTTTTGATTTTAAGTTTTAATGTTAGGTTTTGTAATTGTTATTTTAGGTTTGGAGGTATTTCTGACACAGTGATAAATAACCCAAATATTTATCAACCTAAAATAAGTTAAACATTTTTTTCTATCTGTAATCCAATTCTTACAATGTACTTTCTTCATTTAAATGTATAAAGGAGAGCCATATAATAGGAAAAAACTTTAATTGGAAAATCTTTAACAAAGAGACAAAAATAGAAAATAAAAAAGGAAATAATTACCACTCTGTGGTTGAATTAATTAACTAAAATTGATAGGATAGTATGGTACTTCACTCACAAATTTTTTTTGTCATTTATAATCATCCAAAACATTAAAAGTTAGAAAATGAATAATTTAATATCCTGACATTCTAATTAGTATGTTGATGTCTCAGTAATACTGTCAAGCTAATCAATATAAAAATCAATTGTCTGGTTACTTCATTACTGTTTCTTTTTTAATAGCATAGGCACATTTGGAATATAGTAAAATTAACACTAAAAAGGAAAGATTATTTACTTATACTAAAGCATATTTCTTCTCTTCTACAAGAAAACAAATATTTTTGAAAGAAAATAGGTAATTTAATCAAGACCTCTACCTCCTTGCTATCTCATGAGAACACCGTGCTACCGTAAATTAACATAACCTTATTCCCTCCTTTTTCCTCCACCCTAGCCAGCTGCTCCCCACTTACAGATTATTGCTCTCCACGTTTCAATGCCTCAAGTTCATCATATCCTTCTGGCACCTCATTATAGTGACCAACAATCCCAGTTTGTCCAGGAATGAGAGGTTTCTAAGGATGTGGGACTTTCAGTACTAAAACTGGAACAGGCACGGTCCAAATCCAAATCTTGTCGACATCATAACATCCACCTTCTTGCCACTGTCCAAATGGACTGCTACACCCATATGGATGATCCAGTCAACACTAGTTTCACACAGTCGCCGGCATCCTCTGACCCACTCACACTCCACTTCTGCAGCCCACTCCCACGATCACAGCACAATTCACAAGCAACGCATCACCCCTACCCTCACACATTTTCCCCAACCACATCTCCATGTCCTTCCTGCTCACTTACTCCATTATCCCCACTACACAGGCTCTTTGTGTCCATCAAAGTTCCTTTTTATCCCAGGCCTTTAAACTCTTTCTAGTTTCAATTTTCTTCCCCTAAAATACTTTGCCCTCCAATTATACCAACCTATCTGCACTTCCTATAGCCCACCATGTCTTTCTTTCACTTCTATGACTTTACACATATTTACCACATCTGAAATGTCTTTCTATACCCTGTGTTTCTACTGGCAAATTTCTATGCAACTAACACGTTACCTCTGCAAAGTTGCACCAGATTTCCTCAGGCATAGTTACTCCCACATCCATGCTGGTACATACCTGTCTGCTTGAAGATACAGTTTTTTTTATATTATTTATGTACAATACTATAAGCATTTATATTTCCCTCACTAACATATGAACCTAAGCACGGGTAAATATGTCATAACGATTATATTCCCAGTTTTTTTTTTTTTTTTTTTTTTTTGAGATATGGTCTCACTCTGTTGCTCAGGCTGGAACAGCTCACTACAGCCTTGATCTCCCAAGCTCAAGCAATTCTCCGGAATCAGCCTCCCAAATAGCCTGGGATTACAGGCGTGCTAACGCGCCACCATGCCCAGCTGATTTTTAATTTTCTGTAGAGACTGGGTCTCATTATGTTACCCAGGCTGGTCTCAAACCCCTTAGCTCAAACAATCCTCCTGCCTTGGCCTCCCAAAGTGCTGGGACCACAGGCGCGAGCTACCACACACAGCCTGTATTCCCAGTTCTTACCACAATACCTGATGCAATGTTTACTGACTGAAATATACAAACTATGGAAAGTGACAATATTCAAACTGAAGAAATACAGAAAAGCTTAGAATAAGAGAAAAATAAATATTCTGTGTGATGAAACCCCAAAAAACTAAAAATTATTAATGATAGGATGTAATAAAATAAATTCATCAAAAGATAAAGAACAGATTAATTCACGAAAAGGCACAAAAATTCATACACACAAAATAATGTTCAATTCCGCTAATAATTAAAGAACAGTTAAGAAGTTGCTAGACCAACAAGCAGTAATAAGGCAGTCCTAGAATTGGCACTGTGACAGAGATAGAGGGAAAACATGCAATTAAGAAAGATAGAAAGGAAATACCAAGAAGTTATGACAGAATCATGCCTGAGTGAATGTAACAGCAGTGCCTTTAATAAAAATCATCTTTCCTGACAGTTTCTCCAGATGAGCACAAGGGTAGTTAAACAAATTAAAGAAATAATACTTCTCTATTAATTTGATATAATAATTTAAGAAGCTATTTTAACTTAAATTTTTAAAAAATCTTTATAATTCTTTAGACCATCACCTCTCCAGCCCAGTAAGCTGTCTTGACTTGACGCTCAGAATATGTTAAGGGGAGAGGGGAACGATTTGCAACATCACCAACAGCACAGCAGCAGATGGGCTCTGTGCTATTAGCAGTTTCTGATTTCTTAAGTTATTCAGATCTACATCTCACTGAAAACAACAAAAATGATGGACAAAACACTTAAAAATATTAGCTTAGCAGCATTTAAAAAATACTGTTAAACTAATATTTAGTTTAAAAGGGAACTTGTTGGCCAAATTTTGAGGCAAACCCAGGAGAACTAATGCCATTTTTGCTCTGAGGACATTAGTAAATGCCATCTCCTCATACTTCAGATCTTCAGTCTCAAGGGGCAAGGTAGCAAAAGACAAGGATTAGGGCCTGCCAAGCGGAAGACTCTTGCAAGAGGCCCTCCCTATATTAAACTGGAGACCCAAACGATAACATCTTCAGAGAAAGAGTGAACTAGAATTGACCCACCATCTCTCTCCTAACCACATAAGAATGAAGGGCAAGCTGACTTGTCACTGAGCAAAGCAGGAAAAGAAAAAGGTAGAAAAATGAAGTTTTTGAGAAGCTGTGGCCACCCAAAGTATATATGGTGTGGATGGGCCAGAGACACAATCCTAAATGCGGTTTAAAAAGTGTCCTTGACTTAATACCTGACATAATACCCCTAAAGTAATACTCCCAGAAACCTGGCAAAAGCAAACACAGTACCTCTCAGAGGAGAGCACATTCACCCTGAAAATGTCCTGAAAAAAGGCTGTGGGAGGGCAATAACCAGTTAAAGATAACCAACCACTCAAGGAAATAAGGCAACATGGGTGAAAGACAATCACAAACCATAGCAGGAACAAACCACACAGATTTTAACTCTTAGAATTATCAGACAGATTAAAAAGCAACCTACAACAAATTTGAAAAAGAAAAGCAAATATTAAAATATCTGCAAGGAATAGGAATCCACAAAAAGTAACATAGCAGATGTGGAAAAAAAAAACAAATAAATTACAGTAGCCAAAATTTAAAATTCAATGGGAGTAGAACAGACAAAACAGAATAGAGAAATAACAAACTGGGAAATAGTTCAGAAAAAATAATCTGTAACTCAGCAGAGAAAGAACAAAAAGAAGGAAGACACAACCTGAGGATGAAAAGTGAATGACTCAGAAGACCTAAAATACAGCTGACTAACACACCAGACAGAGAGGAGAAAGAACAGGTAGAGGGAAGTTTAAAAGCAATAATGGCTGAGAATTTTCCAGAATTAATACAAGACACCAATCTACAAATTCAAGAATGCTGGTGAAACTCAAGCAGGATAAATAAAAAGAATTCTACTCCTAGACAAACAGAATATTTAAATCAAACAAAAGTAAATTAAATAGAATATCTTTAAAGGAGACTAAGAGCAGGGTGGCTATCTTACCTTCAAATGAGCTACAGTTAGACTAACAGCTGATTTCCCCACAGCAAGAGGAGAAGCCAGAAGACAGCAGAGTGATATATCTTAATGTGCTAAAAGAAAGTACATGCCAACCTAGAATTCTACATCCAGCAAAAATGTCTTCCAATAAAGGAGACAATCTCTTATTTCTTCTTTGGATGAAAAGGTATAGTATATAGTAATAAAACATAAAAAACACATTTCACTTGAAACTAATGCAAGATGAAGACAGACATGTATGGAAACATGAACATTTAATGTTTTCTTGTATGTCTCCTTTATACTTATAAACATATGATTTTTTATTACTAATTGCTTACATATATAATTGTGTCATGGTTCTTCAGTAGATGAGTAGACCCAAGGGTGATGGACCATTTATATGTTTCTACACACTCTCACCCATACTTTGCCCAGTTTGGGAAATATTAACTACTGAGATGGTCAATAGTTCATGACTGAACTCCTAAGATCATAATTCACTTTTACCCAAATGTAGTTGAAATTTTATTTCAATAATTTAACATTAAATATTAGATTAACAAACTTTCTGATCTTATATTACTAAACCTTACAAACAGTAAATATTTAATGAATGATAAGCAAAACTTGAATAGGAGTAAGCATGCTTTCACAACTGAAATTTGTACCCACCACCACCCCAGTTTCCCTATGAGCTAAGTTAAACTGATCAAGTCTTTGAAATTTGCAACCGTTTCTTTAATTACAAACTATTTATTTCAAGCACCCAGTTAATTGGCAGAATGCCTATTTTTTCACACAGCTTTCTCTTACTGAGCTTCAAATTTTCTTCTTTATGACATCTCCCTTATGTTATCTTCTGCAATAACCTTTTGGTGCACAATTAAAGGCCTCTCAAACTCAATCTTCTTTGAGGCTCCAACTGGCAAATGTTTTCCAAAAAAAAAAGGAAGTAATTTCCCTTTCCCATTTTTACAATGTAGCCCAGTAGAAAACTGTTCAACTTAACTTGGTTCTACATTTCTAAACCATGCAGCATCTTGGACATTTTCAAGATCATTGAAAGAGAGGCAGCCAGATTCTGATTCATGAAAGATATAATGATAACCGAAGTCTTCCTAGTCAAGCAGCTAACATTAGCATAGTACAAAAAAAAATATGGCTTTCCTTAGCTGGAGAGGAAAGGGAGAAACTTGCTTCGAGTCAACATGAACCACTGATGCAGCCACGTTTATTCAAGCAATAAGAGTAAGGAAAAATAAATTCCAAAAAATAAATTGATTTGTAGCAACTTTCTCTTATAGACCATAGGAAATCAACTCTTTGGCAATTAAGTTTTAATAAGTCAGGTGTTACTAAATTTATATTTCTATCATATATTTCAAATTCATATGGATGGTAGAATACCAGCTATTTTTTTACGTGGTGTGAAGGGAAGGGAGGTGTTTATTCTAAAAGATGCTCAAATATATATATTTGTAACTGAAAATATTAGAAGTCTGCTCTATGGCTTTGACAGAGGTATCCTATTTGTTGACCCAATTCAATATTTTTAGTTCCTCAGAAAATTATTCAGACATTTAAAGTTGCAGTTGGCACATGATATTCCATCCATTGGAGTATCTCTGCTACCTCCTTTCTGCCTTATCTTTTAAGATGCTGTTCACAGCTGTCAGCTCAATGACGCCTTCCTACATTAATCCAGCCCATGGCAATGCCCACTTTTTTTTTCCCCCTATAACCCTTGTAGACCATATTAAATATTCTGACACCAGATTATTTTACCTTGTTCTGTTTCCTGAAATCAGACTTTTCCTGCTCTCTTCAACTATAAACATGTTAATGCAAATCTTCCATAACATACAACATAATGCTGGACACACATAAAGCATTTATTAAATATTAGCTATAAAATAATATAAAGGACAACAGTGGCTCCAGAATTTCTACATAGGATGTGCTTAGGAGTGGGATTTTGCTAGGGAACTTATCTTAAAAGACACATTTGCATAGAAAGCACACTTTTTATCAATTGTTCATTAATCTGGGGTACCTTGGTGGGGAAGGGATTGAGAGATTAAAGCCCCTTCAAGCCACTTCTTGACATTGACAGGGACTTAAAAAGTGTTTCCCAACCATCTCATCCATGTGCCCTGCATCAAGAAGGAGAAAGAGGCTACTCACACATTTATCTTACTTCAAGGTCCACCAAGCTTCCTCCCCTTGGTTATACCCTATCCTAAGTCACGGTTCTAATCCTACTTACAGTGCCACAGTGTCCAAGTGCTTCATCTGCACTTAAAACATGGATTCAAATATAGGAAGAGGCCACAATGCACTCAGAAAGGATAGTATCCTCAGAAGGCACATCCAGTTTATAAGTGCTGTAACACTAGAGTGTGACAGGAAGCAGCACTACCGACACTGCCAAAGGGCCATTCTTCTGCACCCCATCCATCCATAGATTTCCTTCTATTCCTCTACATTAGAAATACAAGATAAGAGCTCCTATTAGCCTTGAGAAACCTATAACATTAACATGAATCTCTCAGTGTCAGCCATCATTCTTGTAATGTTCTAAATATTTATTTTATTCACACTGTAATAAAATACCCGCTCCTTCCAAAGCCTGTTCTCCTACCCTACCTAAATGTGGCCATTTTCATTCGATGTCCCCCAAAACTGCAAAAAAAAGAGAAAACACTCAGTTCATTCATTTTAGATCCATCCTATTGTTCTCTGTAAAGATCCTGACATTGATCACTTACTCAAAATATGTCACTTGTTCTTATCTATACTTTGCTTGCTACTGCTAGTGTTATCAAAAAAAGGCAAAATTATTATTTCTATTTTGTAGAGAGAAATAAGAGCAGCCTTGGGAAACTTAAAAGAGAATTTTGATGCTGTATCTTGTTCACTTTGTTTCTTGCCTCCAGTAAAATCATTACAATCCAAAAGTGATACAGCTTAAGGTATCCAGGAAGCTGTGCAGCAAACACAAACAGCTGTGTATAGGTTTGTACTCATCCACGATACTCCCATTCCTTAAGCAAAGTGTCATAATAGCAGCAAATCTGTCTGCCAACACAAAAGGGTATTAGGCCTCAACTGTCCTGCTTTCCTGCACTTATGAAATTGTATTTTTTTATTTTATCTATTTTCAGTTTTTCAGTAAGAAATAATTTCCATAGATTTCCATATGAATTAAAATCTCCCCCTTACCTTCCATAATCCAAACTCCGTATATCAAGAGCCAATATAAAGCATTAAATGCTGAAAATAAAAGGAGAAAAATCTGCAACCATTTAGAAATGGCATACAAAAATTAAGAAGCCTGTATAATGTGGTGTCTATAGTAACTTGTGATTGTTTTATTCATTTATTTATACCTCTTTCTACTTAAGAAGGTGTTTTTAAATCCCCCATAGCACCTACACAGTACTCTGAGCATATTGGTATTCACCAACTGAGCTAAACTGAATTTAGCAAGCAAAAAGGACTGTCCACAATCTATACTATGAAGTACACTCATTAAACTTGGTCTGCTTTAAATTTTGGCAAACTCTAAGGGGCTAAGGGCACCACATAAAAACATCAACCTCATTATCTCATACCTTATACCTTATTACATTACTTTCCACTGTCCTAAACATAATAAAGCTGTCTTTGGAAAAATTTAAAGGATTCTGACTCCTGGCAAATCTCTTCTTCAAAATGAAAAAGCCACAAACTTCTCAGCTAATTTTAAGCAGATTCACCAATCAAATTTCTGAAAGGTGAAAAGCATTTATCAACAATTTTCCCATTTCTGTCCCTTCTAAGTAATCTGGGCTCCTCAGAGTTGTCTTCTCCACTCAACTAATTATTGGAATTTCATTTTCCATATTATTTATTGTTAATAGCATCTTTCATTACATTTTATATAGTCTTTCCAAATCATAGTACAGTTGTTTTGAGGTATTTAGGATACACTGATTGTTATTTTCAGCTCAAACTCAAGAAGCCAGAAGCTCTAGCTACCAGTTCTAATTATCTGTCACTGCATAACAAACTATCCCAAAACTTAACAGTTTAAAATAACAGCCATTGTATTACAGCTCTCAATTCTGATGGTCAGGTATTCAGAAAGGGTGCTGCTGACAATGTCTCTACTCCATGTGGCACCAAACGAAGTCACCAGAGGTACTGAGCTGGTGAACAGATTAATCTGGAGGTTCTTAGATGGCTCTGCTCTCATGTATGGCACCTTGACAGGGATGCTTAAAAGGCTGGGCTCAGGTGGGAATGTCAACATGCCTCTCCAGTATGGCAATTACTAGTTACTGCCAGGTTTCAGAACAGATTCTCCATCAAGTCTACTTAGAATTCTTAATGGCATCCCAGAGCTCCTGAAGACTGTGTACCAGAGACAGAAAGTGGAAGCCCCCAGTTTCTTAAAGCCTGTACCCAGACACTGGTACTCTGTCACTGCTGCCATCCATACTCTATTTGCCAAAACCCACTCACATCAAGAGGTGGGCAGGGGAAGAATGACGAGTTAGTATTTAAAGGGTAATGAGTTTCAGCTGGAGAAGATGAAAAAGTTCTGGAGATGAATGGGGATGGTTGCACAACAATGTGAATACACTTAATGACAAAGAACTGTACACTTAAAAATAGTTTAAAATGTAAAGATTATGTATATTTAACCATTATTTTTTAAACCCACTGAGATTCAAGGGGTGGTGACATAGATCCCACTTCTCAATGAGAAAATGTCAAATAATTTGAGGCCATTTTTAATCCACTGTACCAGCTAAGATGATCTCCTGGGAGGCAAAACATTTATTTCCTATAAGCATATATACTCCCTCCTAAATATCTTTATTATTTATATAATACTTACAGCAAAAATAATTAATTTTTACTGTACTGCCAATACAGAATATGAAATATTGGCATACTCATTCTTAAAGACCATAAATTATTTTCATTCTTAACACTTCAAAAATAATATGCAATTTTAGCTACATTAACTTCAATTACATTGAATAACTGTTAAACCCACGTGAAAGCTTCAAGATGAAATAAAACTGAAAGATGTACTTGCAAATTCCAGACCATCTAGTTTGCAGCTGTGCTAGGTGTTAAAAACATCTCTCCTGTTCTGACACCCAGCATACACCAGCAACCTTCTTGAAGGATTTTGAACTTTAGAGATACACCACACACTGAATCTGGGAAATCTCACCAACCTGCAAATGTTTCTATTTTTTACTGTTCTCCAGCATCTACCGAATCAAGATTTTTATTTTCCCACTCAAAGTCTGCCTAATAAATTTTAATGCAAGAGCAATCTGATGTCCATAAGTACACAATTAGCCAAAAGTGATTTGAATCTTGAGTTTGTGGACCCAGTTTGCTAACTGCACACTATTGCTTGATCCACCCATTTTATGAAGCTGTTAGCACAAACTAAGAACAAACGACTGAGAATTTAAACTTTACAATAAACATTCAAAAGGCCAAACAGTTTCTAGGGTGCTTAAGTAATGTATCTTCTGGGGAACAACTGTAGGTAGCTACTTCATTTATTTACTCCTTTGTTCAACCAACATATATTAAGTACCTCCTATAGGCTAGACATTGTGTTAGGTAATAAACACCATATTCAGGGTCCTTTGCTTTCAGGAGACTTAGAGCCCATTTCAAGACAGGCGGGTGATAACCCTCAAGTACAAGTGCTCTGACAGAGGAAGCCGGGTGCGGTGGCTCATGCCTGTAACCCCAGCACTTTGGGAGGCCAAGGCGGGTGGATCACGAGGTCAGGAATCCGATACCAGCTTCACCAACATGGTGAAACCCCATCTCTACTAAAAATACAAAAATTAGCCAGGAGTGGTGGCAGGCACCTGTAATCCTGGCTACTCAGGAGGCTGAGGGAGGAGAATCTCTTGAACACACAGAAGGCAGAGGTTTCAGTGAGCCGAGATCGCACCACTGCACTCCAGC
The DNA here is from genome assembly GCF_000001405.40 of Homo sapiens. Taxonomy (NCBI): domain Eukaryota; kingdom Metazoa; phylum Chordata; class Mammalia; order Primates; family Hominidae; genus Homo; species Homo sapiens. Next base: position 60,259,462 of record NC_000006.12, on the reverse strand, counting down.
CTGGGCAACAAGAGCGAAACTGTCTCAAAAAAAAAAAAAAAAAAAAAAAAAGCCACAGAGGATGGGTTTCTACGCCAAACTTAAGAAAATGTCCCAGAAAGAAAACTGTTTAAGCTGATACATGACAGATGAGTCAGAATTAGATGAAATGTAGGGAAGAGTATCCAAAGTCAAGGGAAAAAAACATGTTTTCACAACTAAAGGAAGTTCACATGGCTGGTCCATAGAGTTTACAGATTAGTGGTAAGAGATGAGGCTAGGGAGGTAAACAGGGATCAGAGCTTGAGGTAACTTATTACGAATTTGGAAGATTAACATTATATTAATAGGAAATTGCTGAAGAGTTGGGGAGGGGCTGTAGTATAGACATCTGTAAATATCTGCACTCTTGCTTCAGGATAAAGAATGGATTGGATGGGCCGGCACAGTGGCTCACTTCTGTAATCCCAGCACTTTGGGAGGCCAATGTGGGGGGATCACAAAGTCAGGAGTTCGAGACCAGCTTGGCCATCATGGTGAAACCCTGTCTCTACTAAAGCTACAAAAATGAGCTGGGCATGGTGGTGTGCGCCTGTAGTCCCAGTTACTTGGGAGGCTGAGGCAGGAGAATCACTTGAACCCAGGAGGCCGAGGTTGCAGTGAGCTGAGATTGCACCACTACACTCCAGCCTGGGCAACAGAGCAAGACTCCGTCTCAAAAAAAAAAAAAAAAAAAAAAAAAGAATGGATTGGATAAGTAATCATGGTAGCCCAAGCTAGAATAGTGACGATGAAACTGAAAGGAGATGGACAGATTCTAGAGACATTTAGGCATAGAAGTGGCAAACAGACTATTAATCTTAGCCAGGATAAAATCAACAGCACTCTATTATTCCTTATCCTATCACAAATCTAATCCTCTAAAAGCTAAAAAATAACTAAATTTAAAGGAACCTCCCCTTTTACCCTTTGAGTTCAAATGTAAAAAGTGCTCATGATCAGGTTCTTCCAATAGTTGTCAGTTTAGTAACAATTTACACATATCCCTAACCTCCTCAGACTGCATGAAAAGAAGATTTGGACTCAAATCTGTGTTTATTCATTTTAATAAAACTCTAGTATTTCAAGTTCTATTAGCTTTATACTACTGAAGTTCTTATAACTTATTACTCTACATATATTTGTAGCACAGTTAAACAACTCAAGTGGGTATTGGGGGATGAAATCCAGTGTTCTCCCTATACATTATCATTTGCAAATCTCATACAAAAGCTAGAATGGTAACAAATAATAATAAATAATAGTTAATATTTGTTGTGTACTTACTATATGCTAGGCACTGTTAATAAGTACTTTATAAAAGGTACTAACTTATTAAAGCCTCCCAAAGTTATGAGGTATTACTATTATATACTGTATTTTACAGATGAGGAAACCAAGTCAGAGAAGAAAAACAACTAGTAAATAGCAGCACCAGTATTCAACTACAGGTGTTACAGCACCAGAGCCTATGCTCTTCACTCACAAGCTATATGACCTCTCTGGTGTATCCCCACTTAGACAGCATGCTCTCATCCTACTACCCTTGATCTTGATGCAGGTCAAAGCAGGATTCATATGTCTATAGCTCAGATGCCCTATCCTAACACCCTAGGTCTCGAATGCAAAACCCCAAACATTTTCTGTTACTGGGCCATTTGTTTCTAACTTGGATTAGAAGTAATGCAGTTTTGGCCAGGCGCAGTGGCTCATACCTGCAATCCTAACATTTTGGGAGGCCGAGGCAGGCAGATCACTTGAACCCAGGAGTTTGAGACCAGCCCAGGCAACATGGCAAAACCCATCTCTACAGAAAAAAAAAGTACAAAATTTAGCCACGCGTGGTGACTCATGCCTGTAGTCCCAGCTACTCAAGAGGCTGAGGTGGAAGGATTACCTGAGCCTGGGGAGGTGAAGCCATGATCGCACCACTGCACTCCAGCCTGGGCAATAGAATGAGACCCCATCTCAAAAAAAAAGAAAAAAGTAATGCAGTTTCTGCCTTGGTTTCCCTAGTCTTTGCCCTAAATCAGCCACAGACACACTTGACCAGTCTATAAATAGTTTTCTGTCTTCACTCTAAGAAAAAGACAAGCCAGGGAGTATACAAAGGCTGGGTGCCTGGATCCAAATTCTTGTTCAGTTATTGAACTGAGATGTTCCCCCTCCTTCCCGGCAGTAACACTGACCCATACCTGTTGTCTGTTTCCTGCCACATCTCTTAGATATGTAAGAGGAAGATTTGGTAACCTATAAAGGGAGCGTGGCATACCTGTCTGTTAAATATTCTTTTTTTTCCTCTTTTTTATTTATTTATTTATTTATTTTTTGAGAAAGAGTCTCGCTGTTACCCAGGCTGGAGTGCAGTGGCGCAATCTCAGCTTACTGCAACCTCCGCCTCTCGAGTTCAAGTGATTCTCTTGCCTCAGCCTCCCGAGTAGCTGGGATTGCAGGCGCCCGCCACCACATCTAGCTAATTTTTGTATTTTTAGTAGAGACGGGATTTCACCATGCTGTTAAGGCTGGTCTCAAACTCCTGACCTCAGCCTCCCAAATTGCTGGGATTACACGCGTGAGCCACCGCGCCCGGCCCGATATGTTCTGACCATTTCTATGCATGGTGTGAATGCACATGGACAAGACTGCCTCTGCTCTTTGTGCTGTCTGACTCACAGCAGGAAGAAAAAAGAGCCGGGAAAATAGTCAAAGACCCAAAGGACCAACAAAGGTATGACTAGAGAATCTAATAAGCTCAATAAAAAAGCCAAACAAAGTTCAACTCTTAAACTTTGGGACTACTGAAATTCACAATGACATTGAATACACCAAGTCTTTGATGCACAGCATTTGTGAATCATCTTGCCCTGCGTTACACTGGAAGTATGTAGTTAACTACTGGTATTTGTTATTCCTTAAGTTTATGCCTTAATTTGACAAGTTGATTTTAAATAATGAAAGCCATCTTTGAAAGGTCCTTTTAGAATTGTGCAGATAATCAGCATCTGCCTCTAATCAAATGGATATGATTAGCAAATTAAACCCTTTAATTAGCATTTTGCATAATTTAGGCAAATTATGCTTCTTAGGTTTAAGAAGGTGAAACCGTGAGTTTATCAGTTAGAATCCCTTTAAACCTTTATTAATTATCTAATTTTACCACATACACAGTAAACATAAAGAAATACAAATTAAGCTCAACTTCATTTGCTGAAACTTAGCACTTCTCAACATTGAGGCTAATTCTGTCATTTGGAGCAAATTAACACAATACTCATAAGAGAAGAAAAATACTTAATTTCAGTTTTCTCCTTCAACTCCCCACAGGTCAACTTTACCCAAACTAGATTCAAATCTCATTTTTTAAGAAACAGGGAAAGAAGGAAGGAAAGCATGGAAGGAGAAAGAGAAGTAGGGAAGGAAGGAAGGGAAAAATGAGTTTCTTTCCACTTTTGCCATTCAGTACTGCTGAAGCCAAGGTTCATTTCTCTAGGCATTCAATTATATAGTTTTAAAGAAAAGGATTCATAGAAAGGTAAGTAGCTTGTCAACCTTCTTTGTGAAATGAAGAAAGAGAAAGAGTACAAAAAAATAGCAAAGCTGCCATTACAACACACCAAGCTAACTAATTACTTTTCTCTATAGGAATTACATTCTCTCTCACACAGAATGATGGTGACTTTTGAAAAAAGTATTTCTTCTCTTAACCCACCCAAAGCACCCCTATTAGCTAACAAAACAAAAGTAAGCAACTCTGGAATTTGATAAACAAAAGTCAGGTAATAAACAGAAGAGCTTAAGAGATGGTGGAAGAAATATATACCATTTCTAACATCTATTAAACCCCAGTTTCTGATGAAGACATGGTCTTGGAGACAGCCCCTCTGCTCTAGCAACCTCTCACCAAAAAATAAAAAAATAAAAAAGAGGCAGTGAAATTCCAAAATAGACTTTTCCTAAGACTACCGATAGTAATCTACTAAAAAGTTCAAATAAATCATCTCTTTTCCCTGCTATAAATACCACCAAAACCGTAGATCTTCTTTTATGTATGTGTGCATGCACACACACCTGTCTCAAGAGGAGTGGTAAATAAAAAGAAAAGTAATCAGGCCAAGGTTATTTTAGACAGGAATAAGAAAATGAATTCTAATCTGTTTTAAGTGGTATACAGCAAACTGAATGAAAATCAGGAGAGACAGAACTTTAAAAGTAAGTTATCCTTTCTAAACACAAATTGCAATCTATTTGTATGCAGATCCTATTACATCCCTGAACAACCTCTACCTAGAGAAACCAAACAATAGCTCTGATGTACACTAATCAACCAAACAGTTCCAAAATTGTCTCTTTAAGTACTTACTCAAGTGGTGATATTGTAAATATAATTTACAGTGCTTTGTATCTACAGGAACTCAGAAAATATTAGCCAGTTCACTGACCGGAAAAATCCAAAGACTGCTTTTTTTTTTTTTTGGGATTTCACCATGGGTCTCAATTAGACAAGGAATTGACAGTCTAATTTAAAGCAATTACAGCTTTGAAGGGATATGATACATATCCAACTGAAGATGCTAATTTCTCATTACCTTTAAAATATCAATAGAACTAAAATACAAATGTAAAAAAATTAAAATTCTAGCTATATATGTGCTCTGCATTTAGTTTTATTCATTTACTATTTAACAAATCCCTCTAACCATTTACTATTAAAGCAGAAGGAAGAAACATACAAACACCTGAAAAGCATGAACTTCAATTCATGACACTATTTTTTTTTCCCCTTCTACACTGAATGGACTGGTATATATATTATAGTACAGTGCTTTGGCTCCCCCAAATGACACTTCTACAGCACAATAATCCTGTGTCAGAGAAAAAAAAACTAAAAAACGGTGCCAGATACAACTGGGTTCCTTGCAGCCCATTTTCATTGGAAGAAATGTGTCAAATTCAAGATTCAGTGTGAGTATCATCACCCTTCATTTACCCCACTCTAATCAAAGAAAAACATTATATATTCAACCAAGGGTAAAGTCTACATCTTAGAGGATGTCAAGAAAAGTGGGCACTTTAATAAGCCGGGCGTGGTGGCTCACACCTGTAATCCCAGCACTTTGGGAGGCCGAAGCAGATGGATCACGAGCTCAGGAGTTTGAGACCAGCCTGGCCAACATGGTGAAACCCCATCTCTACTAGAAATACAAAAGCTAGCCAGGCATGGTGGCGAACACCTGTAATCCCAGCTACTTAAGAGGCTGAGGGAGGAGAATTGCTTAAACCTGGGAGGCGGAGGATGCCGTGAGCCGAGATCACGCCATTGCACTCCAGCCTACAGAGCTAGACTCTGGCTCAAAAAAAGAAAAGAAAAGTGAACACTTTAAATAAAAATACTCAAACGTGAATTACATATTTATCACAAAAAATTAGTTCCAAGATTACAACTAACCACACCTACAAAAACCAAACAGTTTTAACTTGAGAAATAAAAATATCACTGCTAATAAGATCACTTGTTTAATTTTAAACCTTCAATAAACAATAAGATAGCTAACCTTTAATGAATGCTTACTATATGCCTGCCAAGCTCTATGCAATTTACATAGATAATTCCATTCAATTTCACAACAATTCTATTAAGGAGATACTATAATTTTCCTCATTTTATAATAGAAGAAAATGAGGCATTGAAAGGGTCAGTAACTAACACAGGGTCATGAAAAATCTACTATAAGATTAATTTTCCCAGATCTTATTCATCCTCTCTCCCTTAGCAAGCTTTGTTTTCACAGTTGCAAATACTATTTTCTGTGATATTGTGATTATATACTTTCAACAACGATCTCCTGAACTCAACCTAACATTTTGAACTGCCCACTGTCTATCTCTACTGGCCCATAGCACTCACAAGCAATATCTTCACATCAAATATACTATCCTAACCCAAAAACATACTCCTTTTTTTTATGTTCACTATCATTACTAACATTACACTACTCTTGTCCTCTATACCAGATGGCTTGGAGTCATCTTCACTGCACATTCCATTAGCCATCAAGTCTTTAGGCTATTTCCATAATGTCTACCACATTTGCCCACTTCTTTCCATTCTCACAGCTACTAATATAGTTCACATCCTCATTCAGTCTTTCATTTGGTCACTCACTATTTGCTCAACAAATAATCATCTTTATCATTAACCTGAACACTGGCAATATCCTTCTAAGAGGTCTCTACCATAAGTCTCAACATTCAACAGGTTGAACATCCCAAACCTGAAAATACAGAATCCAAAGTGCTCCAAAATCTAAAACATTTTGAGCATCAACATGACACTCAGATTAAATGCTCACTGGAGCATTTCAGATTTTCAGATGCTCAACCAGTAAGTGTATAAGATAAACTTTCCAAAATCTGAAAAAAAATAGAAATCCAAAACACATCTGATCCCAAGCATTTTAGATAAGGGATACTCAGCCTATAATTAATTACTTGGTGACCTTATGTCTCAACTTGGGTCTCAATTCCCCAATCCTTTATTTACTCAGCTGTTGCAGTTCTCTTCATCATACTAGATTATAACATGTCACCCTGATCCTCAAAAACCTTCCACAATTCCTTCCTGCCCTCCTATCTTGCTAGTCTCATCTTCCACTCTTTCCCATGACAAACTTCTTTTTAGTAAAAATGTAAAACCAGAATCAAGATTAATGTGGAAAATATATGAGCACATTTCCTTGAAATAAAAAAAGGAGATGGTATCATTAAAATAATGTTAAGTAAACAGAATATATGACATCTAGGAAATGTCCACAAAAGTAAAGGTTATACTATGGTTAGAAAAAATGAGATGATGGGCCTATGTCTGTGTTCAAGCTGGAAAGGGAAGAAAGAACCACGCGGCACTGAGGAACTATTGCACTAAGGCTGCTGTTGCTGGAAAAAAGAAGGAACTGAAGCTCATCTATCACCAGCTGGTCCTCAGAACAGAGCTCTAGCAGCACTTAGCCTTCTCAAAGAAGCAAGGGAAAGAGATCACCCCGACCTACTCATCTCATCCCAAACCACCCCTCCTATGCCTCCCCTGAGGTTTATTTATCTTCGAGGCTTGCAGATTGACAAGTTAAATTTCAGCGGTCCCTTAATCCAAAGGCAAAGTTCTCTCAGTGATTTATGATATGTGAGATTTCTCTATGGTTTTCTTTACACTAACATCATCAAAATGTAAATAAACAAATAAAATTAATTTTGAAAATTAGAATTCTTTATATGATTAGAACTCCTCAAGACTGACTATTTTAAATCATAGTCATAAATGGATGATTTCTAGGATTCTATACAAAAGTGATCCAAAGACCAGAAACCTCGCTATATCAACAGCACAAGCTCAGAAAAAAAGGCACCTTCACTACGTGTTCTATGAAGAACTCTCCAAGGGAAATAGAAAGAACTGAATATCCCCACCAAAAAATCTGTAAACAGACAATCAGTCTTAATCCTTCCTATCTGAGAGGTTAGCTTGCCCTGTTCCACAGGGATTCTGGGAAGTTCTGCATTCACAAGAAATGAAGAGCTTTGAGCTCTGTATATGAAGGGGTCCAAGAAGAAGTTATTATTATTATTTTTGCTTTGGGCTCTTTCCTTCATCTACTTTGCTAATAAGTTCTTAAGGGTACCGAAAGTAAGTCATATTGAAGGTTTAAGAAGATTTTTTTTTTTGTTTTTACAAAAAATAGGAAAATATCCAGATATAACTTGAGTTATGAAAACAATGTGACTGCAGTGAAAGCTACTTTAGTATTAGCGAGGCAAACAATATCTTTTTTTAAAAAGAGAAAAGTGTTAGAAAAGTACAACAGTAAGCCAAAACTACTTTAAATCTTCCAAAAAGACAAAAAAAAAAATAAGAAATATGCTACAGTCAGTGCTAATAATACTACACGCAAGAATGTAACAGAATCATACCTGAGAATCTGCAAAGCAAAGGAACACACCTTGGGTGGAACTAGTGGTTAACAACCTGATCAGACCCAATGCTTCTTTAAATATTTTAATACTTAAAATATGTTGCAATACTTGTATTACTATCCAAAAATAAAATTCACAATTTTTTAATATCAATAGAATTCCATAACTAAATATATATAAAATATTTAAAAATTTAAAACAAAAAAATAGTGGCATACATAATTGATCAGACACAGTGCCCTAGACTACATGATCAAGTAGTTAGATACCATACCCATCAGCAAAAACATCGGGAATAACCCACCTACCAATGCAAACTGACACGGTGTGTGCATTGGTGTTTCAAATACCACATCAGTGATGTTCTTTGTCAAAAAAGCGAACTCAGAAACACTCAGAACGAAACAAAGTATTATCTTCCTCAACTCACAGGCTAGTTGCAGTCCAGGAACAATGAGGGTATACCAAAAACATGGGGGAAAAATATTTTGTGTTGATTTATAGAACAGTGTTTAGTTGTAGATTCAGATAATTAGAAACAGTTTAGTTTTTTGGTTTCTGGGTTTCTGTTGTTGTTCACATGAATATAAAAAGTCAAGAAGGAGGCGAGGCATGGTGTCTCACGTCTGTAATCCCAGCACTTTGGAAGGCCGAAGCAGGCGGACCACCAGGTCAAGAGATCAAGACCATCCTGATGAAAATGGTGAAACTCTGTCTCTACTAAAAATACAAAAATTAGCTGGGCGGGGTGGCACACGCCTATAGTCCCAGCTACTTGGGAGACTGAGGCAGATAATAGCTTGAACCCGGGAGGCAGAGGTTGCAGTGAGCCGAGATCGCGCCACTGCACTTCAGCTTGGCAACAGAGAGAGACTCTGTCTCAAAAAAAAAAAAAAAAAAAAAAAAAAGGCAGGAAGGATGTGGGAAAATCTGTGGTTGTACAGAACTACTCAGTGCACTGTAAATGCACCAGCATCCCCATCTCCTGTCTACTAAACACCTGTTGTACTTGCCAATCATTTTTACAAACACAAAAAATACCATAAAGATGGCCAAAATATCCAGCAGGGGTGACTATAACCCCTATAGTCCAGAACTACTGGACTGAACCAACAAGCCATCCTTGTGAAAGGCCCAGTTTGAAACAGTAGGCTTTCCTCTATGGCATCTCTCTTGTGAGATAGTAAAAAAAAACAACTCAAGTCCATAACTTTTCTTTTCCTGGCCTATTAAAATAATGACTCCCACTTCAAGTACAGAATCTACTGCCTGATAAAATTTAATTTAAAATTTTAAAAATATATTTTTTATCTACTGCCTGGATTTTGATTTACACTGATCTTTGAATATTATACATGAGTCAATTGTTCAACATGAACTAAAATATACAATGTGATCTGAAAAATGTTTTTAAAAAGATAAACAAAAGGTAGCAGAGAAGAAAAACAAAAAGGGCATAGAAAAACTACGGGCTAGGAAACAAACCCCTCAACGACTAAGTTGGGTGAATATAATGTTTTCCCTAGAGATGGCAATATTATACCGAGAAAGCTACCAATGGTATATTTAATATATTTGGTTTCCATTCCTGCCAACAACTGTCAGCTAAAATGAAACATCTCAGTAAAATTATAGTTAATGCTTTAATTTCCGACACTAATGTAAATCTCTAAACTCACACCTGTGTTTGTATAGCACTTTTGATGGGCCCTGTCACCTTAAATGTCAGCATCTATTCCACTTCATTTCAATAGTTAAGCTGTGAAATCTACTCATATATTTAGTAACATGCTTTGTGACTTATACATCTCTAAATATTTAGAAGACTAATTTTAAGGAAAGTTACTTAACCTGTCTGAGCTTCAGTTTCCTCATGGAGCTGTTATGAGGATTAAATTACATAAACCTGGCTGGTCACAGTGACTCACACCTGTAATTCCAGCACTATGGGAGGCCAAGTTGCAAGGATCACTTAAGGCCTGAAGTTCAAGACCAGCCTAGGCAACACAGTGAGAACTTATTTCTATAAAAGAAAAAAAGAAAAAGAAAAAATTAGCCAGACATGGTGGCATGCGCCTGTAGTCCCAGCTACTTGGGAGGCTGAGGTGGGAGGACCACTTCAGCCCAAGAGTTCAAGGCTGCAGTGAGCTGTGATCACATCACTGCACTCCAGCCTAGGCGACAGAGCAAAACTGTCTCTACCACAGAAGAAGAAGTTAAATTTTTTTACCCATGTGAAGTATTTACCAAAGTGCCTGGCACTTAACAAACACATTACAAATGTTAGCTATTAGTGATAATCTCTCCTCGGTCTCCTTATATCACCAGATAAATCTAAACCTTAATAAGTCCACTACTTATACAGTCATCAATAAATATTCCTCCTTTAGAAAACAAGGACCCCATGCAAGTCTGGAAACAGTCCTCTGGGTTTTCCAATATTCATACAGAAGCCTTATTCCTTGGACCAACTAAAGAGAATTGGAATATATTTGGCTATTAAGCTCCAAGATAACAGAAAGATTCTCCTGGAATGGGGAGAGCACACTTTGACCAGAGATGAACAGGAAACAAAGCCAGACAGGAGGCAGGTATCAATAGCTGAAGTACAGCACAAGGTATTTGAAAGTCATGGAGATAAACAGAGGCAGGTAGAGAATAAATGGAGACAAGTCCAGAATAGGGGTATTAACTGTGCTGTTGTCCTTTGTATGCCTTCAGAGGGGTGGGGAGTAGCAGAATGGATATATTCACAGGGCCTGGGCCAAATGGATCTGTTAAGCAACTACTTCCTCCTCCCTTTGTAACTCAGATTAAGTCACTCAAAGATTGAGAACACAAAATGATTACCTTTACAACTCCATTTGCCCTCCACATCCCTGGTTCTTATTCTCATCCAAAAGACCTAGGATAAGGCAATCTGACCTAGACTCTGAACTAGACCATGACACAAGACTTCAGCCAAAAAGAATTAACTTTTCAGGGAACTTGGAGGAAAGAGGGAAAGATTATAAAGATTATGGAATTTTTAAAAATGTATACATGGTTGGGCGTGGTGACTCATGCCTGTAATCCCAACACTTTGGGAGGCCGAGGTAGGCAGATCACAAGGTCAGGAGTTCAAGACCAGCCTGGCCAATATAGTGAAACCCCGTCTCTACCAAAAATACAAAAATTAGCCAGGCATGGTGGTGGGCGCCTGTAATCCCAGCTACTCGGGAGGCTGAGGCAGGAGAATCATTTGAACCCAGGAGGCGGAGGAGGTTGCAGTGAGCTGAGATCATGCCATTGGACTCTAGCCTGGGTGACAGAGTGAGACTCAGTCTCAAAAAAAAAAAAAAGTATACATTTAAAAGCTCAGTATCTTTTTTCAGAACACCTTCAGAAAACATGAGTAACACTGCCAAAACACTCTAGTAGAGCGAGAGCAACTCCATCTTGAACAGAGGCTGGATCAAATGAGGCTCGCACTTGATGGGCTGCATTCCCAGGAGGTTAGGCATTCTCAGGCACAGGATGAGATAAGGGGTCGGCAAGACTGGCTATGACAAGACAACAGGTCCTAAAGACCCTGCTGATAAAACAGGATGCGTTAAAGAAGCCGGCCAAAACCGACCAAAACCAAGATGGCCACAAAAGTGACCTCTGGTCATCCTTACTGCTCACTATATGCTAATTATAATCCATTAGCATGCTAAAAGATACTCCCACCAGCACCAGTACAGTTTACAAATACCATAGCAACATCCAAAAATTACCCTATATAGTCTAAAAAGGGGAGAAACCCAGAGTTCTGGGAATTGTCCATCCCTTCCCTAGAAAACTCAAGAATAATCCACCTCTTGTTTAGCATATGATCAAGAAATAACCTTAAAAATAGCCAACCAGCAGCCTGTGGGGCTACTCTGCCTATGCAGTAGCCATTCTTTTGTTTCTTTACTTTCTTAATAAACTTGCTTTCACTTTACTCTATGGACTCACCCCAAATTCTTTCTTGCACAAGATCCAAGAACCCTCTCTTGGTGTCTGGATCGGAACCCCTTTCTGGAAACTACATTCCATAATGTAAATGTTAAACTACAGAGAATATTTAACACTGGAAATTATATTTAGTGTAATTAATTTCATTCTTTGAGGATATAAATATATATGTATGTATGTACACACACACACACACACACACACACACACACATATATATATATATCAGGCATGGTGGCTCACGCCTGTAGACCCAGAACTTTGGGAGGCTGAGGTGGATGAATCACTTGAAGCCAGGAGTTTGAGACCAGCCTGGCCAACATGACAAAACTCCGTCTCTACTAAAAACACAAAAAATACACAAATCAGCTGGGCCTGGTGGTGCATGTCTGCAATTCCAGCTATTAGGGAGGCTGAGGCAAGAGAAACTCTTGAACTCAGGAGGCAAAGGTTGCAGTGAGCCAAGATCACGTCACTGCACTCAAGCCTGGGCAATGGAGTGAAACCCTGTCTCAAAAAAAAATTAATAAAATTGAAATAGATATATATCATTATAAAACAAATAGGACATAGCTCTGTGTGGGGGAAACTTCAGCTAATTTAAAGACATACTTTTTTTTCAAGGGCAAAAGTTATAGGCATGGAAAGCCATCAACAATAAGAATACAAAGAGTCCTATATTCGAAAGCTATATGAAAACTTTAAAAAAGAGAAATGACTTTCACAAGTCATTTTGAAAATTTCTGCATATGTTAATTTTAGCCTTTAAGGGTAATTCAGCTTGAAGTTTCACATTTAGCCATAGCGTCTCTAGGCTTAAACCATATTATCATGAGCAGAATCTAATTTTGTAGGTTGATTAGAAAAACCCAAATTCTGTGAACTCTAAAATATTGTCACTAAGACCATCTGCCATGGTGTATTTTTACAACTATATGCATAAACGGTTAGGCCTCAACTAACTAGAAAACTTAATAAACTTTTCTCCATTCTCCAAATGTAAAATGTATCAATATTTTACTGTAACTGCCCAATAAATATATGTAAAATAATAACAGGTTGGCTTCCATAATTATTTGATGCCAAAAACCACTATGAGAATGAAAGTATTATACTTGTAGTGTTTACTTTTAAAAAGGAAGCCCTGTGTTAATGCCTTCATTTAAATCATTTTGAAAGGTATTCAATTGTAACAGAAATACACAGTGCTCTTTCTAAATCATAAACTTCCCTAGAAACAGAACAAATAAAAGTTTGCAAGGCAGCATAATCCCTCAAATCTAGCTCAATAGAAAAGCTCATTTCATATATAACATATACCTATTATCTAATATTTAACCTTGAAAAAAAATAAGTACTCAATTTTGCTATACTCATCTTAAAGATGTCTAGTGTTTATGAAACAGAATTGAGATAAATCTTTTGAATTCAGTTAGTATTTTCTCTAGACATTAAACATTCACTCAACACTCAGAGAGTACCCTGCCTGGGACTGTCAATCTTGCCTACTTCACAGCCTTGGAACATAAAACAATTTATTTCTCTATTCAGAAGTTATGTTTGACACTTGACAAAGACTCTCTCCTTGACCTAACTCTTGTCAAGCTCCTGAAACCTCTTCTTGATAAGGCCTGCTAATTCAGTTTCAGTGAGAATCCTGCTAAGTAAGTTTAGGGAAAAACCCCCACCCTTGGTCTGACCATCTTTAATATCTTATGATCCTGGTCTGCCTTCAGCAAAATTCCCTAGGTCACTTTACTACCTCTTAATAATTTTCCATTCACCCTGACCCCTGCTCCAAATCCCCACCTATCCTATCATATTCCAACTTCAGTTTATCTCTCTCCCCTACTACAAAAACCTATTATAGTAGCCCCTTTGAATAAAGTCTTCCTTACTATCCTTAACAAATGACATGAATAATTTTTTTCTTTAACACTCTTCATCTGATTATTAATCCCATTCCTCCTAATTCTTTTTAGGTAATTTCCACTAAGAGTGTTTGAGAGTGTGTGTTTTACCATCCCACTTCACTCTTCTTCAGGCTCCATTTTCACTCCTGTCATAGTCAACGGCTTGCCAGAAGCCCTGTGAAAATCTTCCAGGCTTATCACACACGTGTTCTCTAGCCCGTTCTACTGTTACATCTGTGTGTCCTGTCTCAGCTGTTCCACCACACTCCTTATTGGCTGTAGTTCATTCTGTGTCAAAAGATATAAAAAGGTACACACAGCTCTCTATTTTGCAGGCATCACACAAAAATTGCTTTGCAACTTGTTAATAGGCTTATAATAACTTGAGACCCAAGAAGGTAGGTATAAAGAAAGTCATGTATATCAATGCATGGGATGTTCATATTTTACATAATAGAAATGGAGTAGGTCATGATAATGAATACACATTCGAAACGAACTATGACAACCCAAACTATACCAATAAACAATAAAAACAATACAGTAAGGGCCAAAATGATCAAAAAGCTATGACTATTTAAGGCCAACTTGCAGTATCTCAGAAATAAAGACAGAATACCAAAAGTATTTTAAAATTCAATACACCTAAAACTATTAAATCAACGTAAACTCAGATTTCCAGTGTTAACTGGAGAAAAGCCTCCAAAGCCTCCTAATAAATTCATAACTGACATTTTCAATAACCAATGACAAATTAAACTTGAATTCATCCTCACTGAAAAGTAATTACCAACCAAGAATGACATGAAATAATTTCTAAGATAAAAGAAATTAAGGCTTTAAACTAAAAGGGATGAGAAACATTTTAAATTTCAGGCTCAGGATGAGAAAAACTACTTTTAAATAAACAGAAGTAATTCAAAGTTTTACGTGTACTTGTTTTCAGTGAGGCAACGAGGTTACCAACTTCACTTGCCTTCACCTAAAAGCCCTCACTTCCCTGAACATAAATAGCAACTGAACACTAGGTCTTTTTAATATGAGGCAGAGTCACCATTTGTGACACACAGAATATTCTTCCACATCTTTAAGAATGCTCATTTTCACTGTCCCTGTCATTCTGTAGTACTCTAATGAAAAACATCCTACCATTAGACTCACTGGTATTGCAAAGCCAATAAGAAATATTTCTTGACTGTCTTAAGGAGGTTTTAAAAAGCATCCAAGTAAATTATAAGCTGCTGTCAGACTCTAGACTGCAAGAGCACAGAAACCCTTTGTCTGTAAGGGTGACAGCTGCCAAAGCCTGACCTTTCCCTAACTGGCCAACTGAAGAAACACTAATAGAATCTGTTTAACCTTACTCATTCACCTTTAATATGACCAAGGTTAAGTCAATCAACTCAGCAATGGGAGATGCAAAATAGTCCCCATGGACAGCAATATTTACTCATTGAAGCACCTTAGAAATTTCAGATTTAAAATCCAATTTATTTACATATAGGTCAAAGAATGAAAAATATCAGTGTTTCCTTTTTGAACACTTCATATTAAGGCTTCCCATTCTACGTGATAAGGATTCAGAATCTACTATCCACCAGAAACCCAGTATAGACTAAAAAAGTATCAATGCACTGCCCAAGTCAGTAATAGAACACCAGAAATTAATGATCCCTTTTTATGTACATATTTCTCCACCGAAGGACACAATACAACTCAAGTATAACACTGCATCTCCTCCTAAGGTAAAAATATATTTATTTTACAGAAGTAGATCAACATAAAAGCAATTGCAGCATTGAGGAAACTGAAAAGACAGAGAAATGCTCACAAACACAGCACACAAGCACTTTAAGTCCAGGTTGACTCAAAGACATGTGTGCCAACAATCCAGCTTCTGTGACAAACAAGATGGCCCCGTGGCTGCCCACTCTCTTCTGTTTCCTTCCACCTCAACTTATGCAGCAGCACCTGACTTAGGCAGCAGGTCACACATCAGACACCACCTCATGAAACAAATGCTAGTAACTTTTCCCCAAACCTTGCTTTGTCATGAGTCTAAAAACATCACTGATACCTGACTAGGTATAGTAGTTTTCAAATGCAAACTAAATATTCTAACCAAAGTGATGAAAGTGTGCATGTTCCTATTAATGAAATGGTAAAAGTTGGGAAAGCCTACAATGAAATGGAAAGAGCTTACAGAGACATGGGGACAAGCTAATCAACAGCACCTGAATTCAAGTGCCTTAATTACCAGTATCAGATGCCATGAGAGAGTCCATGAAAAAGATGGGAAAAGGTCTCTGCCTGGAAAGTGATTGCAGACTATCATGGGAATGGTTCCTCTGTCAAGCCCTCTGCAATACTTTGTTACTCTATCTTCCATGAATCCCCATCAACCACAAATACTTGATCAAGCTTTACATTCTATGGTTTATATTTCAAAAACCTAAGGCATAATGTTTACTATACTCTATACTAAACTCCACCCATGTTCTGATAAACACCCTAGGAGGACCACCTCTCCATCCCATCCCCCCACTGAGAATCACTGAACTAGAAAAACTGAAACAGTCACACAAGAAGGCAAAGTTACTGCTCCCTTTAGAAGCTGTATAACACCACACTGGGATGTATAAATATGGATATTAATCATCCCTTCAGCCAATCTTTCAAGTTTATCCAAATTTATGCATCTTACTTTAATGTACAGGTTCATTATAATGCACCTCAAATGATTAGCAAAGTGAAACAGGATATAAATTTATAAATAAATAAAATATGGCAAACAGACTAGAAGCAACTAGAGTAATTTTAAACACCAACACACTTGTTAAAACTGCATACATTTCCCATAAATTCCTGTTTCTTAAAACAAAAAGACTCAAAACCATTTTTTTTTATTATTATACTTTAAGTTTTAGGATACATGTGCACAATGTGCAGGTTAGTTACATATGTATACATGTGCCATGCTGGTGTGCTGCACTCACAAACTCGTCATCTAGCATTAGGTATATCTCCCAATGGTATCCCTCCCCCCTCCCCCCACCCCAAAAAAGTACCCAGAGTGTGATGTTCCCCTTCCTGTGTCCAAGTGTTCTCATTGTTCAATCCCCACCTATGAGTGAGAATATGCAGTGTTTGGTTTTTTGTTCTTGCGAAAGTTTACTGAGAATGATGATTTCCAATTTCATCCATGTCCCTAAAAAGGACGTGAACTCATCATTTTTTAGGGCTGCATAGTATTCCATGGTGTATATGTGCCACATTTACTTAATCCAGTCTATAATTGTTGGACATTTGGGTTGTTTCCAAGTCTTTGCTACTGTGAATAATGCCGCAATAAACATACGTGTGCATGTGTCATTATAGCAGCATGATTTATAGTCCTTTGGGTATATACCCAGTAATGGGATGGTTGGGTCAAATGGTATTTCTAGTTCCAGATCCCTGAGGAATCGCCACACTGACTTCCACAATGGTTGAACTAGTTTACAGTCCCACCAACAGTGTAAAAGTGTTCCTATTTCTCCAAATCTTCTGCCGCACCTGTTGTTTCCTGACTTTTTAATGATCGCCATTCTAACTGGTGTGAGATGGTATCTCATTGTGGTTTTGATTTGCATTTCTCTGATGGCCAGTGATGGTGAGCATTTTTTCATGTGTTTTTTGGCTGCATAAATGTCTTCTTTTGAGAAGTGTCTGTTCATGTCCTTCACCCACTTTTTGATGGGGTTGTTTGTTTTTTTCTTGTAAATTGTAGATTCTGGATATTAGCCCTATCTCAGATGAGTAGGTTGTGAAAATTTTCTCCTACAACTGCTATATTGAAAGGAAGGTTCAACTTTGTGAGTTGAATGCACACATCACAAAGAAGTTTCTGAGAATTCTTCTGTCTAGTTTTATATGAAGAAATCCCGTTTCCAACGAAGGCCACAAAGAGGTCCAAATATCCACTTGCAGATTCTACAAAAAGAGTGTTTCAAAACTGCTCTATCAAGAGGAATGTTCAACTCTGTGAGTTGAATGCAAACATCACAAAGTAGTTTCTGAGAATGCTTCTGTCTACTTTTTAAGTGTAGATATTTTCTTTTCTACCATAGGCCTCAAAGCGCTCTAAATATACACTTGCAAATTCTACAAAAAGAGTGTTTCAAAACTGCTCTATCGAAAGGAAGGTTCAACTCTGTGAGTTGAGTGCAGACATCACAAAGAAGTTTTTGAGAATACTTCTGTCTACTTTTTATGTGAAGATATTCTGGTTTCCAAAGAAGGCCTTGTAGCACTCCAAATATCCACTTTCAGACTTAACAAACAGAGCGTTTCCAAACTGCTCTATCAAAAGAAAGGTTAAACTCTGTGAGTTGAACGGACACATCACAAAGTAGTATCTGAGAATGATTCTGTGTAGTTTTTATATGAAGATATTTCCTTTTCTACCATAGGCTCCAGAGCGCTCTAAATATCCATTTGGAAATTCTACAAAAAGAGTGTTTCAAAACTGCTCTATCAAAAGGAAGGTTCAACTCTGTGAGTTGAATGCACATATCACAAAAAGTTTCTGAGAATTCTTCTGTCTAGTTTTTATGTGAAGAAATTACCGCTTCCAACGAAGGCCTCAAAGAGGTCCAAATATCCACTTGCAGATTCTACAAAAAGAGTGTTTCAAAACTGCTCTATCAAAACGAATGTTGAACTCAGTGAGTTGAATGCAAACATCAAAGAGCAGTTTCTGAGAATGCTTCTGTCTAGTTTTTATAGGAAGATATTTCCTTTTCTACATTGGCATCAAAGCCCTCTAAATACACACTTGCAAATTCTACAAAAAGCGTGTTTCAAAACTGCTCTATCAAAAGAAAGGTTAAACTCTGTGAGTTGAACACACACATCACAAAGTAGTTTCTGAGAATGACTCTGTCTAGCTTTTATATGAAGATATTTCATTTTCTACCATAGGCCTCAAAGTGCTCTAAATATCCACTTGGAAATTCTACAAAAAGAGTGTTTCCAAGCTGCTCTATTGAAAGGAAGTTTCATCTCTGTGAGTTGAATGGACACATCACAAAGAACTTTCTGAGAATTCTTCTGTCTTGTTTTATATGAAGAAATCCCGTTGCCAACGAAGGCCTCAAAGAGGTCCAAATATCCACTTGCAGATTCTACAAAAAGAGTGTTTCAAAACTGCTCTATCAAGAGGAATGTTCAACTCTGTGAGTTGAATGCAAACATCACAAAGTAGTTTCTGAGAATGCTTCTGTCTAGATTTTATGTGAAGATATTAACTTTCAAACATAGGCCTCAAAGCATTCTAAATATACACATGCAAATTGTACAGAAAGAGTGTTTCAAAACTGCTCTATCAAATGAAAGGCTAAACTCTGTGAGTTGAATGCAAACATCACAAAGTAGTTTCTGAGAATGCTTCTGTCTAGTTTTTATGTAAAGATATTTCCTTTTCTACCATAGGCCTCAAAGCACTCTAAATATACACTTGCAAATTCTACAAAAAGAGTGTTTCAAAACTGCTCTATCGAAAGGAATGTTAAACTCTGTGAGTTGAACGGACACATCACAAACTAGTTTCTGAGAATTCTTCTTTCATGTTTATATGAAGAATTCCCATTTCCAACGAAGGCCTCAAAGAGGTCCAAATATCCACTTGCAGATTTCACAAAAAGAGAGTTTCAAAACTGCTCTATCAAGAGTAATGTTCAACTCTGTGAGTTGAATGCTAGCATCACAAGTTAGATTCTGAGAATGCCTCCATCTACTTTTTATGTGAAGATATTTCCTTTTTTACCATAGGCCTTAAAGCGCACTAAATAAACAATTGCAAATTCCACGAAAAGAGTGTTTCAAAGCTGCTTTATCAACAGAAAGTTTAAACTGTGTCAGTTGAACGCACACGTCACAAAGTAGTATCTGAGAATTCTTCTGTCTTGTTTAGATGAAGAAATGCCGTTTCCAACGAAGGCCTCAAAGCGGTCCAAATATTCACTTGCTGATTCTTCAAAAATTGTGTTTCAATACTGCTCTATCAAGAGGAATGTTCAACTCTGTGAGTTGAATGCAAACATCACAAAGTAGTTTCTGAAAATGATTCTGTCTAGCTTTTATGTGAAGATATTTCATTTCCTACCATAGGCCTCAAAGCACTCTTAAAATATAATTTCAAATTGTACAAAAAGAGTGTTTCAAAACTGCTCTATCAACAGAAACGTTAAAATCTTTGAGTTGAAAGCACACATCAAAAAGTAGATTCTGAGAATGAATCTGTCTAGTTTTTCTATGAAGATATTTCCTCTTCTATGATAGTCCTCAAAACGCTTTAAATATCCACTTGGAAATTCTACAAAAAGAATGTTTCAAAACTGCTTTATCGAAAGGAATGTTCAACTCTGTGAGATGAATTCACACTTCTCAAAGAAGTTTCTGCGAATTCTTCTGTCTAGTTTTATATGAAGAAATCCTCTTTCCAACAAAAGCCTCAAAGAGGTCCAAATATCCACTTGCAGATTGTACAAAAAGAACCTTTCAAAACTAGGAAATCAAGAGGACTGTTCAACTCTGTGAGTAGAATGCAAACATCACAAAGTAGTTTCTGAGAATGCTTCATTCTAATTTTTATGTGAATATATTTCCTTTTCTACCATAGGCCTCCAAGCGCTCTAAATTTACACTTGGAAATTCTACAAAAAGATTGTTTCAAAACTGATGTATTGAAAGGAAGGTTCAACTCTGTGAGTTCAATGCACACATCACGAAGAAGTTTCTGAGAATTCTTCTGTCTAGATTTCAAAGAAGAAATCCCATATCCAACGAAGGCCTAAAAGGGGTCCAAATAACCACTTGCAGATTCCACAAAAAACGTGTTGTCAAAACTACTCTATAAAGAGGAATGTTCAACTCTGTGAGTTTAATGCAAACATCACAAAGTAGTTTCTGAGAATGCTTCAATCTAGTTTTTATATGAAGATATCTCCTTTTCTACCATAGGCCTCAAACACCTTTAAATATCCACGTGGAAATTCTACAAAAAGTATTTCAACATTGCTCTATTGAAAGGAAGGTTCAACTCTGTAAGTTGAATGCACACATCACAAAGTAGTTTCTCAGAATCATTCGTCTAATTTTCTATGAAGATATTTCCCTTTCTACCACAGGCCTTGAACTGCTCTAAATATCCACTTGGAAATTCTACAAAAAGAGTCTTTCAAAACTGCTCTATTGAAAGGAAGGTTCAACTCTGTGAGTTGAAAGCACACATCACAAAGAAGTTTCTGAGAATTCTTCTGTCAATTTCATATGAAGAAATCCCGTTTTCAACGAAGGCATCAAAAAAGTCCAAATATTCACTTTCAGATACTACAAATAGTGTGTTTCAAAACTGCTCTATCAAAAGAAAGGTTAAACTCTGTGAGTTGAACGGACACATCACAAAGGAGTTTCTGAAAATCATTCTGTCTTGTTTTTCTACTAAGATATTGCCTTTTCTACCATAGGTTTCAAACGGCGCTAAATATCCACTTGGAAATGCTACAAAAAGAGAGTTTCAAAACTGCTCTATCGAAAGGAAGGTTCAACTATGTGAGTTGGAAGCACACATCACGAAGAAGTTTCTGAGAATTCTTCTGCCTAGTTTTATATGAAGAATTCACGTTTTCAAACGAAGGCCACAAAGAGGTCTAAATAGCCACCTGCAGATTCTACAAAAAGAGTGTTTCAAAATTGTTCTATCAAGAGGAATGTTCAACTCGGTGAGTTGAATGGAAATATCACAAAGTAGTTTCAGACAATGCTTCTATCTAGTTTTTTGTGACGATACATCCTTTTCTACCGTAGGCCTCAAAGCGCTCTTAATATACACTTGCAAATACCACAAAAAGAGTGTTTCAAAACTGCTCTATCAAAAGAAAGGTTAAACTCTGTAAGCTGAATGCACACATCACAAAGTAGTTTCTGAGAATGATTGTGTCTAGTTTTTCTATGAAGATATTTCCTTTTCTATCATAGGCCTCAAAAAGCTCTAAATATCCACTTGGAAATTCTACAAAAAGTGTGTTTCAAAACTGCTCTATCAAAGGGAATGTTCAACTCTGTGAGATGAATGCACACTTCACAAAGAAGTTTGTGAGAATTCTTCTGTCTAGTTTTATATGAAGAAATCCCTTTTCCAACGAATGTCTCTAAGAGGTCCAAATATCCACTTGCAGATTGTGCAAAAAGATTATTTCAAAAGTACGCTATCAAGAGGACTGTTCAACTCTGTGAGTTGAATGCAAACATCACAAAGTGGTTTCTGAGAATGCTTCTGTCTAGTTTTTATGAGAATATATTTCCTTTTCTACCAAAGGCCTCCAAGTGCTCTAAATGTACACTTGGAAATTCTACAAAAAAGAGTGTTTCAAAACTGATCTATCAAAAAGAAGTTTCAACTCTGTGAGTTCAATGCACACATCACAAAGAAGTTTCTTAGAATTCTTCTGTCTAATTTTATATGAAGAAATCCTGTTTCCAATGAATGCCTCAAAAAGGTTCAAATATTCACTTGCAGATTCTACAAAAAGAGTGTTTCAAAACTGCTCCATCAAGAGGAATGTTGAACTCTGTGAGTTGAATGCAAACATCGCAAAGTAGTTTCTGAGAATGCTTCTGTCTAGTTTTTCTATGAAGATATTTCCTTTTCTACCATAGGCCTCAAAGCGCTCTAAATATTCTCTTGCAAATTCCACAAAAAGAGTGTTTCAAAGCTGCTGTATCAAAAGAAAAGTTAAACCCTGCGAGTTGAACACACACATCACAAAAGTGTTTCAGAGAATGCTTCTGTGTAGTTTTCTATGAACATATTTTCTTTTCCATGATAGGCCACAAAGCGTACTAAATATCCATTTGCAAATTCTACAAAAAGAGTGTTTCAAAACTGCTCTATCAAAAGGAACTTTCAACTCTTTGAGTTGAGTGCAGACATCACAAAGAAGTTTCTGAGAAAACTTTTGTATACTTTTTATGTGAAGATACTCCCGTTTCCAAAGAAGGCCTAAAAGCGCTCCAAATATCTAACTGCAGACTTAACAAATAGAGGGTTTCAAAACTGCTCTATGAAAAGAAAGGTCAAACTCTGTGAGTTGAATGCACACATCACAAAGTAGTTTCTGAGAATGATCCTGTCTAGTTTTTATATGAAGATATTTCCTTTTCTACCATACGACTCAGAGCGATCTAAATATCCACTTGCAACTCCTACAAAAAGAGTGTTTCAAAACTGCTCTATCAAAAGGAAGGTTCAACTCTGTGAGTTGAGTGCAGACACCACAAAGAAGTTTCTGAAAATGCTACTGTCTAGTTTTTATGTGAAGATATTCCCTTTCAAACATAGGCCTCAAAGCACTCTAAATATACACATGCAAATTGTACAAAAAGAGTGTTTCAAAAGTGCTCTATCAAATAAAAGGTTAAATTCTGTGAGTTGAGTGCCAACATCACAGAGTAGTTTCTGAGAATGCTTCTGCCTAGTTTTTATGTGAATATATTTCCTTTTCTACCATAGACATCAAAGCGCTCTAAATATACACTTGCAAATTCTACACAAAGAGTGTTTCAAAACTGCTCAATTGAAAGGAAGGTTAAACTCTGTGAGTTGAACGCACACATCACAAAGTAGTTTCTGAGAATGATAATGTGTATTTTTTATATGAAGATATTTCCTTTGCTACCACAGGCTTTGAAAAGCACTCTAACTATCCACTTGGAAATTCTACAAAAAGAGCGTCTCAAAACTGCTCTATCATAAGAAAGATTAAACTCTGTGAGTTGAATGCTGACATCACAAGTAGTTTCTGAGAATGCTTCTGTCTAGTTTTTAGGTGAATATACTCCTTTTTCTACCATAAGCGTCAAAGAGCCGTAAGTATACACTTGCAAATTCTACAAAAAGAGTGTTTCAAAACTGGTCTATCAAAAGAAAGTTCAAACTCTGTGAGTTGAATGCACATATCACAAAGTAGTTTCTGAGAATCTTTCTGTCTTGTTTCTATGAAGAATTCCCATTTCCAACGAAGGTCTCAAAGAGGTAAATGTATCCACTTGCAGATTCTACTAAACGAGTGTTTCAAAAGTGCTCTATCAAGAGGAATGTTCAACTCTGTGAGTTGAATGCAAACATCAAAAAGTAGTTTCTGAGAATGCTTCCATCTAGTTTTTATGTGAAGATATTTCCTTTTTTACCATAGGCCTCAAAGCTCTCTAAATACACACTTGCAAATTCTACAAAAAGAGCATCTCAAAACTGCTCTATCAAAAGAAAGGTTAAACTCTAAGAGTTGAACGCACACATCAAAAAGTAGTTTCTGCGAATGATTCTTTCTAGTTTTTCTATGAAGATATTTCCTTTTCTACCGTAGGCCTCCAACCGCTCTAAATATTCACTACAAAATCCTACAAAAAGAGTGTTTCAAAACTGCTCTATCAAGAGGAATGTTCAACTCTGTGAGTTGAGTTCAAATATCACAAAGTAGTTTCTGAGAATGCTTCCGTCTAGTTTTTATATGAAGATATTTTCTTTTCTACTGTTGTCCTCAAAGCTCTCTAAATATACACTTACAAATTCTACAAAAAGAGTGTTTCAAAACTGCTCTATCAAAAGAAAAGTTAAACTCTGTGAGTTGAAAGCACACATCATAATGTAGCTTCTGAGAATGATTCTGTGTAGTTTATATATGAAGATATTTCCTTTTCTACCGTAGGCTTTGAAAAGCGCTGTAAATATCCACTTGGAAATTCTACAAAAAGAGTGTTTCTAAACTGCTCTATCAAAAGGAAGGTGCAACTCTGTGAGATGAATGCACACATCTCAAAGTAGTTTCTGAGAATTCTTCTGTCTTGTTTATATGAAGAAATCACGTTTCAAACGAAGGCCACAAAGAGGTCCGAATATACACTTGCAGATTCTACAAAAAGAGGGTTTCAAAACTGCTCTATCAAGAAGAATGTTCAACTCTGTGAGTTGAATGCAAACATCACAAAGTAGTTTCTGAGAAACCTTCCACCTAGTTTTTATGTGAAGATATTTACTCTTTTACCATAGGCCTCAAAGCTCTCTAAATACACACTTTCAAATTCTACAAAAATAGTGTTTCAAAACTGGTCTATTGAAAAGAAGGTTCAACTCTCTGAGTTGAATGCACACATCACAAAGAAGTTTCTGAGAATTCTTCTGTCTTGTTTATATGAAGAAGTCACGTTTCAAAAGAAGGCCACAAAGAGGTCCTAATATCCACTTGCAGATTCTACAAAAAGAGGGTTTCAAAACTGCTCTACCAAGAGGAATGTTCAACTCTGTGAGTTGAATGCAAATATCACAAAGTAGTTTCTGACAATGCTTCTGTCTATTTTTTATGTGAAGATATTTCCTTTTCTAATGTAGGCCTCAAGCGCTCTAAATATACACTTGCAAATTCCGCAAAAAGAGTGTTTCAAAACTGCTCTATCAAAAGAAAAGTTAACCTCTGCGAGTTTAAAGCACACATCACAAATTACTTTCTGAGAATCATTCTGCCTAGTTTTTCTATTAAGATATTTCCTTTTCTACCATAGGCCTCCAAACGCTCTAAGTGTACGCTGGGAAATACTACAAAAAGAGTGTTTCAAAACTGCTCTATCGAAAGGAATGTTCAAGTCAGTGAGTTCAATGCACATATTACAAAGAATTTTCTGAGAATTCTTCTTTCTAGTTTTATATGAAGAAATCCCGTTTACAACGAAGGCCTGCAAGAGGTCCAAATATCCACTTACAGATTCTACAAAAGGAGTGTTTCTAAACTGTTCTATCAGGAGAAATGTTAAACTCTGAGTTGAATGCAAACATCACAACGTAGTTTCTGAGAGTGCCTCCATCTAGTTTTTATATGAAGATACTTCCTTTTCTACCATTGGCCGCAAAGTACTCTAAATATACACTAGCAAATTCTACAAAAAGATTGTTTCAAAACTGCTCTATCAAAAGAAAGTTTAAACTCGGTGAGTTGAAAGCACACATCGAAAAGTAGTTTCTGAGAATGATTCTCTCTAGTTTTTCTATGAAGATATTACCTTTTCTACAATAGGCCTCAAAAAGCTCTAATTATCCACTAGGTAATTCTACAAAAAGAGTGTTTCATAACCACTCTATCAAAAGGAAGGTTCAACTCTGTGAGATGAATGCACACTTCACAAAGAAGTTTCTGCGAATTCTTCTGTCTAGTTTTATATGAAGAAATCCCATTTCCAACAAAAACCTCAAAGAGGTCAAATATCCACTTGCAGATTCTACAAAAAGAGTGTTTCATAACTACAATATCAAGAGTAATGTTCAATTCTGTGAGTGAATGCATACATCATGAAGTAGTTTCTGAGCATGCTTTTGTCTAGTTTTTATGTGAATATATTTCCTTTTCTACCATAGGACTCAAAGTGCTCTAAATATATACTTGCAAATTCTACAAAAAGAGTGTTTCAAAACTGCTCTATCAAAAGAAAGGTTAAACTCTGTGAGTTGAACACACGCATCACAAAGTAGTTTCCGAGAATTCTTCTGTCTTGTTTATATGAAGAATTCCCGTTTACAACGAAGGCTTTAAAGAGGGCCAAATATCCACTTGCAGATTCTACAAAAAGAGTGTTTCAAAACTGCTCTATCAAGAGGAATGTTCATCTCTGTGAGTTGAATAAAAACGTCACATATTAGATTCTGAAAATACTTCTTTCTAGTATTTAGGAGAAGAGATTTCCTTTTTTACCATAGGCCTCATAGCGCTCTAAATGTACACTTGCAATTTCCAGAAAAAGTGTGTTTCAAAGCTGCTTTATCAAGAGAAAATTTAAACTCTGTGAGTCGAACGCACACATCACAAAGTAGTTTCTGATAATTATTCTGTCTTCTTTATGTGAATAAATCCCGTTTCCAACGAAGGCCTCAAAAGGTCCAAATATCCACTTGCAGATTCTACAAAAAGGGTGTTTCAAAACAGCTCTATCTAGAGGAATGTTCAACTCTGTGAATTCAAGGTAAACATCACAAAGTAGTTTCTGAGAATGCTTCCCTCTAGTTTTTATACGAAGATATTTTCTTTTCTACCATTGGCCTCAAAGCGCTCTAAATATACACTTGCAAATTCTACAAAAAGAGTGTTTCAAAACTGCTCTATCAAAAGAAAGGTTAAACTCTGTGAGTTGAACGCACACATAACAATGAAGCTTCTGAGAATGATTCTGTGTAGTTTTTATATGAAGATATTTCCTTTTCTATTGTAGGGTTTGAAAGCGCACTAAATATGCAATTGGAAATCCTACAAAAAGGTTGTTTCAAAACTGCTCTATCAAAAGGTAGGTTGAACCCTGAGAGTTGAATGCACACATCACAAATATTTCTGAGAATTCTTCTGTCTAGTTTTTATGTGAAGAAATTCCCGTAGCAAAAGAAGTCCTCAAAGATGTCCAAATATCCACTTGCAGATTCAAGAAAAAGAGTGTTTCAAAACCACTCTATCAAAGGGAAGGTTGAACTCTGTGAGTTGAATGCCAACATCACAAAGTGGTTTCTGAGAATGCTTCTGTCTACTTTTTATATGAAGATATTTCCTTTTCTACCATAGGCCTCAAAGCCCTCCTAATGCATACTTGCAAATTCTACAAAAAGAGCGTTTCAAAACTGCTCCCTCAAAAGAAAAGTTAAAAATTAGCCAGGCGTGGTAGCGGGCGCCTGTAGTCCCAGCTACTTGGGAGGCTGAGGCAGGAGAATGGCGTGAACCCGGGAGGCGGAGCTTGCAGTGAGCCGAGATCGTGCCACTGCACTCCAGCCTGGGCGACATAGCGAGACTCCGACTCAAAAAAAAAAAAAAAGAAAAAAAAAAGAAAAGTTAAACTCTGCGAGTAGAGCGCACACATCACAAAGTAGTTTCTGAGAATTATCCCGTCTAGTTTTTCAATGAAGATATTTCTTTTTCTACCATAGGCCACTAAGACCTCTAAATATGCCCTAGGAATTTCTACCATAAACAGTGTTTCAAAACTGCTCTATGGAAAGGAAGGTTCAACTCTGTGAGTTGAATGCACACATCACAAAAAAGTTTCTGAGAATTCTTCAGTCAATTTTATATGAAGAAATCACGTTTCCAATGAAGGCCTCAAAGAGGTCCAACTATCTTCTTGCAGATTCTACAAAAAGCGTGTCTCAAAACTGCTCTATCAAGAGGAATGTTCAGCTCTGTGTTTTGAATGCAAATATCACAAAGCAGTTTCTGACAATTCTTCTGTCTAGTTTTTATGTGAGGATATTTCCTTTTCTACCATAGGACTCAACGTGCTCTAAATATACACATGCAAATTCCACAAAAACAGTGTTTCAAAACTGCTCCATCAAAACAAATGTTAAACTCTGTAAGCTGAATGCACACATCACAAAGTGGTTTCTGAGAATGATTCTGTCTAGTTTTTCTATGAAGATATTACTTTTTCTACCGTAGGCCTCAAAGCACTCTATATATACACTTGCAAATTCGACAAAAAGTGTGTTTCAAAACTGCTCTATCAAAAGAAAGGTTAAACTCTGTGAGTTCAACGCACACATCACAAAGTAGTTTCTGAGAACCATTCTGTCTAGTTTTCCTATGAAGATATTGCCTTTTCTACCATAGGCCTCAAACGGCGATAAATATACACTTGGAAATTCTACAAAAAGAGAGTTTCAAAACTGCTTTATCGAAAGGAAGGTTCAACTCTGTGAGTTGATACCACACATCACAAAGAAGTTTCTGAGAATTCTTCTGTCTAGTTTTATATGAAGAAATCACGTTTCAAAAGAAGACCCCAACGAGGTCCAAACATCCACTTGTAGATTCTACAAAAAGATAGTTTCGAAACTGCTCTATAAAGAGGAATGTTCAAATCTGTGAGATAAATGCAAATATCACAGAGTAGTTACTGACAATGCTTCAGTCTAGTTTTTATGTGAAGATATTTCCTTTTAAACCATAGGCCTCAAAGCACTCTAAATATACTCTTGCAAATTCCACAAAGAGAGGGTTTCAAAACTGCTCTATCTAAAGAAAGGTTAAACTCTGTAAGCTGAATGCACACATCACAAAGTAGTTTCTGAGAATTCTTCTGTCTAGTTTTTCTATGAAGATATTTCCTTTTCTACCATAGGCCTCTAACGGCTCTAAATATCCACTTGGAAATTCTACAAACAGAGTATTTCAAAACTGCTCTATCGAAAGGAAGGTTCAACTCTGTGAGTTGAATGCACACATCACAAAGAAGTTTGTGAGAATTCTTCTGTCAAGTTTTATATGAAGAAATCTCGTTTCCAATGAAGGCCTCAAAAAAGTCCAAATATTCACTTGCATGTTCTACAAAAAGAGCATTTCAAAACTGCTCTATCTAAAGAAAGGTTAAACTCTGTGAGTTGAACGTACTCATCACAAAGTATTTTCTGAGAATTATATGTATATTTTTTCTATGAAGATATTGCCTTTTCTACGATAGGATTCAAACTGCGCTAAATATCCTATTGGAAATTCAACAAAAAGAGAGTTTAAAACTGCTCTATTAAAAGGAAGATTCAACTCTGTGAGTTTAAAGCATACATTACAAAGAAGTTTCTGAGAATTC